>NC_000003.12:84555454-84858484 GCF_000001405.40 Homo sapiens | reverse complement strand
TGCATGCATGTATGTACCTGTCTATGTCTGTATCTATCTACCTATCATCTTTCTAAATTATAATTGGCAAGAAAGACATTGAATTGGCAGAAAATCTTAGAAATTATTTCTCTCAATTTCATCAGTTTACAAATGAGGAAAATGAGGCACAAAGATATTAATAAAACAGATGGTTTGTGATGTAATTACAGCCAAATGGAAGGTTTCCCAATTCTAAGGATATGAAATCCTTACATTTTTATCTTCTGCATAATGACCTCTGATGTCCAAATCAGAAGTTGCTTACCATACTGGTGAGCATTATTTCCACGTAGCGCTAGGCAAAGCCAGAAGTTAGAGAAGATCTCTCACTGCTGTAGTGTGCTAGGTATCTTTATTAGACCTTTCATCCATACTTTCCTTACCATTTTCTTTTAAGAAAATCCTCTTTTAAACATTTATTATAAAATACATACACAAAAGTGAACACATTATAATCATTCAGCTTGGTGAATATTTGCAAAGTGAATATACCTGCATAGTCACCACTCAAATCAAGATATGGAAGATTATCACCACTTTTAATTTTATATAACTTAACATATGCTATGTTATATAAATGAATGTCATATAAATTAAAAAATACTTTTTTTCATGTTTGACTTTTTTCACTAAGCATTGTGATTTTATCCATATTATTGGATGTTTGTTTTAATTTCATCATATATATATGCCACAGTTTACTCACTGATCCTACTGTTGGTGGATATTTGGGTTATTTCTGCTTTTGACTTTCGTAAATAGTATTGTTATCAGTATCCTGTACAAACCATTTCTACACAAAATAATACATTTCTCTATATATTGTTTGTTCTTAGGTTGTACCAGTTTGGGTAGAATATAACAGTCATATATCAATTGGCACTCTGAAAAGTAATATATGACAGTTTAGACTGCTTGATTTCTTCACCAGTATCTGGTCATATCAGTTTTTTATTTTTCCTTCACTGTTTTTGGGTTTTTTTTTAAGCCATTCTAATGGTGTATGTTAAAATATTATATTCTTTAAAATTTTTATTTCCCTGAAGACTATGTTGAATGCCCTTTCATTTTATATGCATATATATATGTATGTATATGTGTGTATATATATATATATACTTAACACTATCGAGATCTATTCTATGTTACTGTCTATCCAGATGTAGGTCCCTCCAGAATGCTCTATATAGCATGAATTTATATAACATAACGTGTTAAGTTATGTAATGTAACAGTGTTTTGAGTGATGATTATGCAGTGGTGGGCTCTATGTTGTACTGACTATACCAACAGACTCTCTTGTCTTCTGGGTTCCATCATTGAGGACCATTGACAGGGAATAAAAGGAAGGAAAGGAGATAGTTAAATCAACATTTCTTCTCTCTACTCCTATGGTTGGCTCATGATGTCCTGAACTTCCACTGATCTTTGGCATTACTACAAATGCCACTACTTCTGCTGCAGTAGTCTGACCTACCTCATCTTCTGCAAGCAGATTTGCCTCACGGCCCTCTGTCTCTAGTTTCCGGGTCACTGTTATCTCTCTCCCTCCAAATACCTAGAGTTGTTATGGGAGCCATTCTAGCCCCTGAGATTTCACTGTGTTTTGTGGGTTTCCTATTCCTCACTACAACTATGTGTGTGGTTCTTTTACTAAGCTCTTTCAATGTATTTAAATTTGAATGTACTATCTCTTTCCTGGTGGAAAGCTACATAATATGCATGGTTATATCTGAATTGTACTGAACATGTGTGGGAAAATGGTATATGAAAGAGATGGAAATTTTAAAATTGAGCAAAGGGTATCTAGTAGTAAATACAGTGTTTTAAAGCAGAATCCTCACCAGGACTTTAAGTGGTGAATGTAGTTTGCCAAGGTATCTTGCAATGTTTTAGCAAATGGAAAGATATTCTATTACACTGACATCTAAGGTTAAATCTTTAAAGATATTCTGGTTGCTTTTAAGATTTCATCTTTGTTTTGTAGCAACAACAAAATTGTAATTCATACATATTGTATGATCTCAAAGGAGTGCACACCAGATTTGCCTAATAATCTTACCAGAGTGCCTTAAAGTTCTATTTATTATATACTCATTTGTAGTAAAGTAGGAAATCTGACATTCTGAAATATTATCTTCTGAAAGAGGTGTACCACTGTCTTTTTATGTACTTTTAAGGCTTCTATCAGATACTATTAAATACATTGAAATCTGAGTGAAGTAAAATTCTTCCTTTTCAGTGAATAATAGCTTCCACCATAAATATCAAAATGGTATATAAAAACCAAACCATTCATATAGAGGAGAAGATTTAGAGATTAAAGTTTACAAATTTCCAGGAACAGTGACAGAAATGGTTTTAATTTCAGTCTTAAATGTCTTTAAGCCAGGAGATTAATCACTTTTAAGCATTTGTTTAAAATGGGGCCCATAGTTATGAAAAAAGCACTGCCTAACAGCAGTGCCAACTTGGAGCCAACTCAAGATGAACTGTAATAAAGTACTCCCATGATATAGTTAAACAGATCTAATACACAAGATAACAACTGGAGACAAATCCATGAGCTCATGAGCTCTTCACCATTCAGTTTAATTCCCCTACCCATTGCAATTTGGTGTCTACCTTAAATATTCCTTCAAAAAATGCTCAAAAAGTCCACAGTGGTTTTTTTTAACTGTGACATCTTCTCCACATTTCTGGCAGCAATTTTTGGGGAAATCATTTCACTCATGAAACTCAATAGTACAATTATCTAGTCCCTTAATTCTGCTTTCTCCTATCTGGCCACTCTTTTTTCCTTCTTTCCTGGTATACCTTTCACTAACTACCTCTTAAATATTTGTGTAATGCAGGGTTCAGTTTTTGGAACTTTTCTCTGCTCATTCTATATGATTTTAGAGGGCTAAGTTAATCCCTTCATAAGAGTGATCTTTTATTCCAGTGAATTTAAAAAATCTGTATTTATAATAACCCCCAATCATATAACCTGTGTTGTAATATAACATGTATTGTAAAATGGTTACAAGGTATATTTTACATAGACTTTAGTTTCAATACATCCAGGCCAAAGTCCTTATTTTCCTCTCCAAAATTGCTCTTTCCTCTTCAGCTTTCCTTTCAGTTAATGAAATCACCATTCAGTGAGTCACCCAAGCTAGGAAACCTCATTATGATCCTCAACTTATTCATTTATCTCCTCTCTCACATTCAATCAGTCAGCACATCGTGTTAATTCCGTCTCCTGAATAGCTCTGGAATCTGTCTTCTACCTCTCATTCCCACAGCTACCTTTCTTGTTTATAGGCTCATCATCCCTTTTTCAGCTTCTAACCATGGCATCCTAACTAACTTCCCCAACTCCTATGGTTGGCTCATGATGTCCTGAACTTCCACTGATTGTTGGCATTACTACAAATGTATAATTCTGAAACATAAATAAATCATATCCAACTCTTACTTTAAAAGCTTCAATTACAGAATTAAATACCTACTTATATGGGATCTGCCTTAGGATAAGCCAGAATTCCAAATGGTAATATGCTCTTTGAAAAGAAAATATAAGAGAAAGTTTCCTTTCACAGAAAAGCATAGAAAATGCATAAAGAGAAGCATCCTTATTAATTTTTAGTGCAGTGTTGAATTTTATGGCTTTTAGAATCATACACTGGTTATATTTAACCCTCAAGGATACAATACAAATTAATTATAGCTATTGTTCACTAATGATTTTCTCTTTAAATAAAATTATTCGATGGTCTCTCTCTCTTCCTCTCTCTCTCTCCCTCTCACACACACACATGCACACACACCTTTATAATTTATACATTATGTAAATGTATACACATGTGTATATACTGCTTAAGCAACAATCTCAGAAACAATATTTATGAATTCATAAAAATTTATGAATTCATTAAAAATGAGTCTAAACTAATTAGAAAGACTTTTTTTAGAAAGAACTCTTGGGGTGCATGGAAAAAATGAAAATTGTTTCTAATCAGCACTTTTCCTCTTAATGAATAGGGCCAATGAGTTGGTATTAAAATGTGCATTTATAAATAGGATTCTGCAAGCATGTGACATTACACACCTGCCCGACAGCTTTAAATTGCAAATGCAGTTTTTTCTTATCTTTTTCTATTTTGTATTTATTTATAGTAATTTATCAGATTATTTTTCTACGTGATAAAATTTCTATTACTTTCTGTTATTTAACATTCCCTGTGCTCTGCTTAATAGCAGTGTGCTGGCTAGCTTTGGGTATTAATAAATTATATCAAATAAAATGAACATGGTAACTGGCAACCTTATGAATTATTATTCCACTATATGTCTAGAAAATGCTTTGATTTAAAGAACCTGTTATTGCTAGAAAAGTTGCCTTTGCTCCTCTTTTTCTTTGTAAAATGTTTTAGTAATTTTAGGTTTCTGAATTATGCTTCTAGAGAGGCTGAAAACTCAAGAAATGTGGACTAAGTGTGTGGGCAAGTGTGTCACTGCTGACTAAAACTATGAACAGGTTTGTTTACCATGATTCTCTTCTATTAGGCAGTGAATGTGTGGCAAATTGAAAATGGCATGATTGATAGTTATGAAATAAAATAACGAATAGTTTTTTTGGTGTCCTCTTATTCTTTGATTCTATCAATAAAAAGAAGACTATTTCGAAGTTCTAAAGAATAGTTTTGTAGTATTTCATACATAACAATGCAACATTCTTAGGAGTATCAGTTGGCTCTCAGAGTGACAGTAACTAGAACATTAAAATATTATTTGATACATTTTTGGCTTTGAAACTGACATTCAAAGTATAAAGATGTCACTACAATGACTAAAATACAATCTAAAATCAATGCTTTAAATTATCATAATCAATGAACAACATTACTTAGATATGCGTTTAAACTAATGAATGGAAATGGGTAGATACTTTTATTTTGACATAGTTATAGATAATGCTTAGATACCTAAAAGAGTTTTTCTGACTTTTTCAAAAATGCAAAATGAAATAACATACAGCCAAAATCACAATTCAGGTAACCAGTGTCTCATTTCTGCATTTGTTCTATCAGAGCCTGAATCTGGCCAAATCTAGTGATGTTTATCAACTTAAGAGCTTCAGTGATGGAGGAGACAAAAAATTCTTCATAACATTACATTGAAGAATAAATCTTAGAACATGTTTTTACTTGCAGCCAAAGGGAAATACACTGCTCCAGTTGGCATAGTTTATAGCCCCAATACTTAATTATTATCTATGACTGAGCTTAATTGAAAGTCTAAGATAACCAGAATGTTTGCTTAACATTCCAAAATCAAGGAGTATTATAGATTCATGGATAATAAATGGTCCTGCAATAATGGGATTCCAATCTCACATAATACACAAAAAACAATTTCAGGTGGAATTTATGTTCACCAAAAGACACTTACAAAATGTGAACACTTGTCAACAATCCAAAAGAAGAGCTTACAATGCATAAAATTAACAGAGCATGTATCCAAAATAGCTAAAGAATAATTCTTATGATCAGTAGTTCATTATTGATCAATTCTTTGACTCTATCAATAAAAGGAAGACTCTTTTGAAGTTTTAAAGAATACTTTTGTAGTATTCCACACATCACATTGCAACAGTCTTATGAGTATCAGTTGGCTCTCAGAGTGACAGAAACTGGAACAGAAGGATATTATTTGATAATTTTTTGGCTTGGAAGCTGACAGCCAAAGTATACAGATCTTCTAACTATAATGACTAAAATACAATCTAAAATAAATGCTTCACATTATCATAATAAATGAAATGACAAAACAATTTCATAAATTTCACTGAAAAAGCAACACAACTAGCCCACAAAATTCATAAAAAGATGTTAAATTAATGAATAGTCAAGGAAATGAAAATTGAAACCACAATGATATGCAATTTTGTACTCAGCAGATGGGCAAGGTCAACTAATATCATCTTTGACATGGCTATTGGCTGGTGGGAATGGTAACTATTATAGCTACCTTGTAAATCAGTTTAGTGTGACCTAGTAGAGATGAACATGTATGCATATATTCTATAATTAGCAATCCTACTCCTAGTTAATCCCCCAGAAAAACTCTTGCACATGTATATTAAGATATATTTACAAAACTGTATCAGTTTTGTAAAAAACTGTTTTGTACAAAACTATCCTTAGGACCTACAAATGGTATGATAATTTATAGGATATTTGTACAATCACTTAGCATAGCAGTGAAAACAAAGACCTGGAGCCATACACATCAAAATAGATAAATTTAAAATCTAAATTTTGAGCTAAAAGAAGCCCCTCACAAAAAAATTCAAAAAATATTGTATGTCTTGGCCTAAATAATGGCTACTCAGGTATTTTTAAAGAAATTTTTGCTTATGTTCCTATGCCCACTTATTATGTATGTTATATTTTAGATTTTAAGAAATCCAACGTCTAGAAAGGTAATACTGTTTATGAAGGAGAAGAAAGCATAAGAAGGGAAAACATTTGGGAGATTTTCTCATGGAGTTTATTTTTAACTTCCCTTCAGCACCCTAGAATTTTGCTTTCTTTTCATGTCTAACTTGCAAAGCCCTCTATTACCTTAGCTCTCTTTCATATAGCTGTGAAGGTTTTACTAAATTAGTTAAAAAAAGCAAAAATGCTAGTACTTTATCTTCTCCTTGGAAACTTGAGCTTATAAGGTATCAGTGTTATTAATATTTAGTAATAGTGTGTGAACAATTGATAGGAAAGCATTGCCAGCAAGGTTGACCACACTGACATTGGTGGAGGACCCAGTGATGACAGAAATAAGCTAAACCTTGAAAATAAGTAACTCTAACTGAAGAAGCAATGCTGTTGATGGTGACTGTTGGTAAGGCTGACAACAAAAATTAGATGTATAGTGAGAAAAGGAGAAAAATAGCAGATAGTCTAGAGTAGATACTACATAAAACTTTTTAGGATTATTTCTTAAGGCCCAAGTGAAACAGTTCTTGGGGACTCCCAGTATGATAAGAAATTTGAAATTGTTTTGTTAAAAACAAACTGGATGGAGTAGCATCAGGTTTGGGAGGAGCTGCTGCTAATGATAATATATATATATTTTAAATGTATGTATTTTCTTACTACTTATACATTGCTTACATCCAAGTCACTATAGTTTTAGAAATATGTTAACATTTTAGAAAGATAAATCTCCTAATGTATACATATGTAACAAACCTGCACGTTGTGCACATGTACCCTAGAACTTAAAGTATATTAATAAAGAAAAAAGAAAGATAAATGTATTTCCCAGAGTAAACATGTTATAATGGTTTGGCTCCATATAGCCAAATAATATTGTTCAAAAGTTTTGGCATTGGCTTGATTCTATATACATAATTATAATATTGTTACCAGAAATAATGCATTTTGGGTATTAACTGAATTTATGAATGAATATTTGAAATATACCATATTTACAAATTGGGAGATGACCAAACATGAACATGGAAATTTACAGAGGGTATAATTTGTTGATAAACATTAAATAGAAAACTGGTGAAGCAGTCATGCATTGTAGCAGGCCATAAGGAAAAAGCAACGTGCTGGTTGAATGGAACTTTTATAGTCAGTTTGGGCTGCTACAATAAAGTATCATAGACTTGGTAACTTATAAACAACAGATTTATTCCTTACATTTCTGGAGACTGGAAGTCCGAGATTATGGTTTCAGCATGGTCAAGACTCCGGTGAGGGTCCTTCTCTAGGCTGCAACTGCTAACTTCTTGTTATATCCTCGTATGGGAGAAAGAAAGTGAGGCAACTCTCTGGTTCTTTTATAAGTTCACTAATCCCATTCATAAGGGCTCTGATAGGGTTTGGCTCTGTGTGCCCAAGCAACTCTCATGTCAAATTATAATCCCCACATGCTGAAGGTGGGGTCTGGTGGGAGGTGATTGGATCACAGGGGTGGTCTCTAATGATTTAGTGCCACCCCCCTACTGCTGTCTTGTGATAGAGTTCTCGCGAGATCTGATGGTTAAAAAGTGTGGCACCTCCCCCCTTGCTCTTTCTCTCTCCTGATATCTTTTAAGATATGCCTTACTTCCCCTTTGCTTTCCACCATGATTGTAAATTTCCTGAGGCCTCTCAGTCATGATTCCTGTCAAGCCTGCAGAACTGTGGTCAATTAAACGTCTTTTCTTCATAAATTACCCAGTCTCAGGTAGTTCTTTATAGCAGTGTGAGAATGGACTACTACAGAAAATTGGTACTAGAAGAGTGGGGCACTGTTATACAGATACCTGAAAATGTGGAAGCAATTTTGGAACTGGGTAACAGGGCAGTGGCTGGGACAGTTTGGAGGGCTCAGAAGAAGACAGGAGGATGAGGGAAAGTTTGGAACTTCCTAAGGACTTGTTGAGTAGTTTTGACCAAAATGCTAATAGTGATATGAACAATGAAGTTCAAGCTGAGATGGTCTCAGATGGAGAAGAGGAACTTATTGTGGCCAGGGGCAAATCTTGCTATTCTTTAGCAAAAAGACTGGCAGCATTGTGCCTCTGCTCTAGAGATCTGTGGAATTTTGAACTTGAGAGACATGACTTAGGGTATCTGGTGGGAGAAATTTCTAAGCAGCAAAGTGTTCAAGATGGAGTCTGGCTGCTTCTAACAGCATACAGTCACATGCATTCAAAAAGAAATGATCTGAAATTGAAACATACGTTTAAAAGGCAAGCAGAGCCTAAACATTTGGAAAATTTGCACTCTGACCATGTGGTAGAAAAGAAAAACCTATTTTGTGGGAAGAAATTCAAGCCAGCTGGAGAAATTTGCATAAGTAATGTGAAGCCAAATGTTAATAGCCAAGAAAATGGAGAAAATGTCTCCAGGGCACTTCAGAGATCTTTGAAGCAGCCCCTCCTATCACAGGCCCAGAGTCCTAGGAGGAAATAATGGTTTTGTGGGCCAGGCCCAGGGCCCTGCTTCTCTGTGCAGCCCCAGAACATGACACCTTGTGTCCCAGCCCCTCCAGCTCCAGCTGTGGCTAAAAGGCACCAAAGTATAACATAGGACATTGCCTCAGAGGATGCAAGCCTCAATCCTTGCCAGCTTTCATGTAGTGTTGGGCCTGTGGGTGCGCGGAAGGCAAGAGTTTGGGAACCTCTTTCAAGATTTCAGAAGATCTATGGAAATGGATGAATGTCCAGGCAGAAGTCTGCCATAGGGGCGGAGCCCTCATGGAGTACCTCTACTAGGACAATGCTGAGGGAAAATGTGGGGTTGGAGTCCCCACAGAGTCCCCACTAGGGCACAGCCTAGTGGAGCTGTGAGAAGAGGGCCACAATCCTTCAGACACCAGAATGGTAGCTCCAGTGACAGCTTGCACCATCTTACTGGAAAAGCCATAGGCACTCAATGCCAGCCCATGAAAACAGCTGTGGGGGCTGTACCCTGCAGAGTCACAGACGCGGGGCTGTCCAAATCCTTGGAAGCCCACTCCTTGGATCAGTGTGGACTGGATGTGAGGCATGGAGTCAAAGGAAATTATTTTGGAGCCCTAAAATTTAATGACTGCCTTGCTGGGTTTTGGAATTGTAGCCCAGGAACCTGCAGCCCCTGTGTTTTGGCCAATCCCTCCCATATTAAATGGGAGCATTTACCCGGTGTTTATCCCCCCATTGTATCTTGGAAGTAACTAACTTGTTTTTGATTTTACAATCTCATAGGCAGAAAGGACTTGCCTTGTCTCAGATGGGACTTTGGACTTGGATTTTTGGGTTAATGCTGGAATAAGTTAAGGCTTTAGGGAACTGTTGGGAAGGCATGATTCTGTTTTGAAATGTGAGAAGGACATGAGATTTTGGAGGGGCCAGGGGCAGAATAATATGGTTTGGCTTTCTGTTCCCATCCAAATCTTATGCCAAGTTGTAATCCCCATGTGTTAAAGGTGGGGCCTGGGGGGAGGTGATTGGATCATGGTGGTGGTTTCTCATGGTTTAGTACCATCTCCCTAGTGCTGTCTCAAGATAGAGTTCTCACAAGATCTGATGGTTTAAAAATGTGGCACTTGGCCCCTTGCTCTCTCTCTCTTTTGCTGCAATGTAAGATGTACCTTGCTTCCCCTTTGCCTTCAGCCATGATTGTAAGTTTCCTGAAACCTCCAAGCCATGCTTCCTGTTAAGCCTGTAGAACTGTGAGTTATTTAAACCTCCTTTCTTCATATATTACCAAGTCTTAGGTCATTCTTTATAACAGTATTCAAATGAACTAACACAGGCTCCAACCTCATGACCTAATTTCCTCCCAATGGTTGGGGATCAGGATATCAACATATAAATTTGGAGGGGGAGGATAGACAGACCAATATTCAGTCCTCAACAGCACACCTTCTGAGGAATGGAAGTGATTGCCTCCCACTAAAAAGGGGAAAAATGAGATATTTACCTAAAAAGCGAGAAGAAGATATGCTGAATGATGTAAACTCTCCATCCCCAGATGAGATGAGGAAGTGTTCACTGACCAAAGTCCTGGATTCAGAGAGAGAGAATCAAAACCAAGAAACTAAGGCAGTATAGAACCCACGAATGTCAAAACAACAACAATAAAAAAATCAGTAGTGATTCTGAGAGATATTAATTGTGACGAAAGCTTTTGTTGTTTATTTTTCTTTTGTTCTTGTTTATTTGTTTTTGTTTTAAAGAAGTCTAAAAAAATTTCTCATATAACCCACTACAGTTAACTTCACATTTTATAGACTCTCATAAGATTAGGTACTTGACAAAATGACAGCATTTAGCTTTGCCAGTTTCATAAATGCAAGTCACTGAAATAATGTTGCTTCTGTTAATTAAGTTTATTAATACAATTTCATGGTAAGAATACCTGTTCTGAATTTCAGATTTCTATCACTACCCGAGAGATAGAAGGTTTTTGAAGGAGAAAGTAAAAAGATATGCCAATTTGGCAATGTTTCATGAAACTAAATGCCTGTGTAAATGCAGGAAAATAATATACTAACACAGGAATGATCTATGTAGACACATTAAAATTCAAGAAACATATTAGCACAATTACATAGGACTGATTAATAAGCATCACACAAATATAGAGAAATAGAAGTGAAATTAAAATAGTATTTACTGTGGCTCTTATTCATAATATTACAATTTTAAAACATTCATATTTAAAAGTTAATATGGTTATGTTATCCAAATATTTTTAGTTTCCTAAACAACAACAAAAGAAGCTACTTCTTTTAGACTTCTTTCATATAAATGATATTGATTATGAAGCAATTTTATCTCATAATTAATTATTTACTTTGTAAAACAAGTATGTCTGTATCATATAGATTTTAATGTAGATCAGAATTCAGATTCATATTATTTGTGGTTAGTTTTTTAATATAACTGTGAACGTACATGTGTTAACAAAATTCTTTCTACACATGTTTATTCCACAAGTGTATACTTAAAATCAGACATGATTTTGTATGTTCATGATACAGTAGTGAATGAAATAAATTCCCTCCCTTGTATATTTTATACTCTACTTTATAAAGTTTTTTTAACTTGTATTTTCTTAAATTTGTAGTCTTCTATGGTGTTTAAAAATTACAAGTTACCTATCACCATCTATAATAAAGAAAAGTACAGAAATGTTATTTTTCATTGTTAGCATTAACGTAAAGAATAGCAATCACAATTTGCTCTTGCATAGTCACTTTCATTCATGATTCTCAAAGAATAACATTTTATAGCACCCAAGAGAGACAGGGAGGTATTATTATTTCAATTTTACAAATGATAAAAATGTGTCATGAAAGCTGAATTCAGAGTTTCCTCCATATCTCAATAGAGCTCTTAAGAAACCCCATAGCTATGGCAAGGTTTCAGTTTACGTATTGTTGTGTACCTCTGTGGCTATGGCACTGTTTTCATTACTCAAGGTAGACATTCTTTGGTAAATGAAATAGAGCAAATCTTTATGGGGACTGAGTTTTCGAACAGTGTTATACAGTTGATGGAACCTTCCCAGCAAATTGTATAGTAAAGGCAGACTGACCCATGCTCATTTCTTATGTCATTTCCACATAGAAACGTAAAGCCACATATACATTTGGTTCAGAGAAAACAGATCATTTTGCCCAAGACCTTCTTATTTCATAACTTGGAAAACCCAAATAAAATTTTAAATACAATTTCCTCAACACAACAAAAAATGATAAACAACAACCAACAAAAGAACAAGCAAGCAAAAACAACTAAACATTTTTTACAATAAACAAATACTTGCTCTATCCTAAAGAATACATTAATGCTCAATTAACTCATAGTATAAAAAGGTAGCCAATTACATTAGTGAGCAGACAGAGATTTAAAAACAAACAAGCAACAAACAAACATGCCAGGTGATTCAATAAACAGACTATTGTAACAACTATCATTATAATGTTAGAATAGCTGAAACCAACCATGTAGGAAGGAGAAGCAAGCAGAAGTCACTGAAAGAAGCCTCTAAACCAAGCTCTGGAGGGGGTGTTGGGAGGAGGCTGTATAAAAGCCTGAGCTGTCAGGTTGAAGCCATGGAAAAGACACAGCCAGTGCTCTTTGATAACAATTCAAATAGGACACAAATATCTTCATACTCTGTCCTCTTTCTGAGAGGTCAAAAACAAACGCTTCTCCTCCAGATCTCCTTGACACAAATCTTATAACTGGGTTTCTCCAAGTTCCTCACAAATTAACCAAACGATTAGCCAATGCACATGAATAAGTACTATGAAATATTTTTCCTTTCATGCCAAATGAACAACTAGATGTGTTGTTCGAATTTCACCTCACTGGGAGTGTTTTCTTTTAGGGACACATTGACTGGATTATTGAAATAGGTTTTTAACTATGAACTGGTTTTCTCCAGATTGCACCTCATATGTCATTTTTCCTCCTTGAGTTTGCTTTGTATCCTTTCACTGTATATGTGTTTCCTGTCTCTACCTCTTATTCTTATTTTCCACATGACAGCCAGCGTCATCACTTTAGAACATAAAGTATATCATGACAGTCCTGTGCTCACAACTCCAGAGAAGTTCCCACTCACTCACTCGCTCAAAAAAACAAAAACAGAAACAAAGCCCGAATCCTGACATGGTCAAAAGATCACTTGTAATCTAACCTTTCACTATCACTGAACAGTCTCGTAGCACAGGCATACCTTGGAGATATTGCAGGTTTGGTCCTAGACCACCACAACAAAGTAAGTATCATAATAAAGTGAGTCACACAATTTTTTTTGTTTGCTTGTACATATAAAAGTTATGTTTATACTATACTATTCTCTATTATAGCAGTCCCCAACATTTTGTTACCAGAAACTAGTTTTGTGGAAAACAATTTTTCCATGGATGGTGCAAGGAGGATGGTTTTGGAATGAAACTGTTCCACATCAGATCATCAGGCACTAGATTCTCATAAGGAGCACACAACCTAGATTCCTCGTACGCATAGTTCATAGTAGGGTTTGCTCTCTTTTGACAGTCTAATGTCGTGGCTGATCTGACAGGAGGCAGAGCTCAGGTGATAATGCTTGCTGGCCTGTGGCTCACCTCCTGCTGTTGAGGCCCAGCTCCTAATAGGCCACAGACCAGTATCCATCTGCTGCCCAAGGGTTGGGGACCCCTGCTCTGTTAAGTGTGTAATAACATTATGTCTAAAAAAGAATGTACGTACCTTAATTAAAAATACTTTGTTGCTAAAAATGCTAACAATCTTCTATACCTTCAGTATGTTATCATCTTGTTGCTAGTAAAGTGTCTTGCCTCCAAGTGGATGGCTGCTGACTGGTTGCTGAAGATTTGGGTGGATATGGCAATTTCTGAAAATAAGAACGATGATGAAGTTTGCCACACCAATTGACTCTTCCTTTCACAAAAGACTTCTCTTTAAAACTTGATGCTGTTTGGCAGCATTTTACCCACTATAAAACTACTTTCAAAATTGAAGTCAATCCTTTAAAGCCTTGCTGCTGCTTGATACACTAAGTTTATGTAATATTCTAAATCCCTTGTTGTCCTTTCAACAACGTTCACAGTATCTGTACCAGGAGTAGATTCTATCTCAAGAAACCACTTTTTTGGTCCCTCGTAAGAAACAACTCCTTATCCATTCAAATTTTATCATGAGATTATAGCAGTCGTATCTTCAGATTCCACTTCTAAATCTAGTCCTTATGCTATTTCTACCACATCTGTAGTGACCTCCCCCATTTAAGTCTTGAACCCTTCAAAGTCACCCATGAGGGTTGAAATGAGCTTCCCACTAACTCCTATTGATGTTGACATTTGGATCTCCTCCCCCATGAAACACAAAAGTTCTTAATGGCATCTAGAATGATGAATCCTTTCCAGAAGGTTTTCAATTTACTTTGCCCATATCTATCAAGAGAATCACTATCTATGGCAGACATAGCCTTACAACATATATTTCTTAAATAATAGACTTAAAAGTAGAGATTTCTCCCAGATCCATGGGCTGCAGAATGGACGTTGTGTTAGCAGGCATAAAAAGGACATTAATCTCCTTCTGCGTCTCCCTCAGAGTTCTTAAGTGACTAGGTCATTGTCAATGAGCAGTAATATTTCAAAAGAAATATTTCTTTCTGAGCAATAATTCTCAAGGGCGGGCTTAAAATATTTAGTAAGCCATGCAGTAAGCAGATGTGCTATCTTCCAGGCTTTGTTGTTGTATTTATAGAGCACAGGCAGAGTACATTTGGCATAACTTTTAAGGACATTAGTATTTTTGAAATGCCAAATGACCATTTGCTTTAACTTAAAGTCAACAGCTTCATTAGCTGCTAATAAGAGAGACACCTTTTCCTTTGAAGCTTTGAAGCCAGATGTTGATTTCTCCTCTCTAGCTATGAAAGTTGTAGATGGCATCTTCTTCAAATAGAAGGCTGTTTCATTTACATTGAAAATTTGTTGTTTAGTGTAGCAACCTTCATTAATAATCTTAGCTACATCTGGTAGATAACTTGTGACGGCTTCAACATCAGCAATTGCTGCCTCATCTTGCACTTTTGTGTTACAGAAACAACTTTTTTTTTTTCCTTAAAACTCATGAAGGATCCTCTGCTAGCTTCAAATTTTCCTTCTGCAGCTTCTTCACCTCTCTCAGCCTGCGTAGAATTAAAGAGAGTTAAGGCCCTCCTTGGATAAGTCTTTGGCTCAAGTGAATGTAGCTGGTTTGATTTTCTATCCAAACCATGAAAGCTTTTCCCATATCAGCAATAAGCCTCTTTCGGTTTCTTATCATTTGTGTGTTCACCAGAGTAGCATTTGCAATTTCCCTGAAGTTTCTGCCTTTGCATTCACAACTTAGCTAACTGTTTGGCTCAAGAGATGTAGCTTTCAGCCCATCTTGGCTGTTGACATGGCTTTCTTTACTAAGCTTAATCATTTCTAGCTTTTGTTTTAAAAGTGAGAGACCTGCAACTCTTCCTATTACTCAAACAGCTAGAGGTCATTTTGGGGTTATTAATTGGCTTAATCTCAATATTTTTGTTTTATGGAGAATAGGGGGCCCAAAAAGAGAAAGCAAAATGATAGAAAGGCTGGTGAGTGGAGCAGTCAAAGCACACAGCACTTATTGATTATGTTTGCGTCTTACATGGGTGTGGTTTGTGGTGCCACCAAACAATTAAAATAGCATCATTAATCACTGATCATAGATTACCATAACAGATATAATAATAATAAAAAGTTTGAAATATTGCGAGAATTATCAAAATGTTACACAGAGACATGGCAATCACGTGCTGTCAGAAAAATGGCACCAATAAATTTGCCGAATGCAGGGTTGCTACAAACCTCAATTTGTAAAAAATACAACATTTGTGAAACACAAGAAAACAAAGTATGCCTGTATTGTCAAAGTAAAACTTGAACTGGACAAAGTTAAATAGACAAGGATGATTTATTTTATTTTATTTTATTTTATTTTATTTTATTTTATTTTATTTTATTTTATTTTATTTTTTTTTGAGACAGAGTCTTGCTCTGTCACCCAGGCTGGAGTGCAGTGGTGTGATCTCTGCTCACTGCAACCTCTGACTCCCTGACTCAAGTGATCCCCAACCTCACCCTCCCAAGTAGCTGGTACTACAGGCTCACGTTGCCACGCCTGGCTAATTTTTGTATTTTGGGCAGAGATGGAGTTTTGCCATATTGCTCAGGCTGGTATCAAACTGAGCTCAAGTGATCCACCCACCGTGGCCTCCCAAAGTGCTGGGATTACAGGCATGAGCCACCGTGCCCACCCGGAAGACTTTATTTAACACTCCTGCAATAGGTGATGGTGAGCTCTGCTGAAACAAAGGTCTATAGAATTTTTAAGAGCTGAGGTAGGTGGAATCATAGACTACCTGTGCTTACTGATTGGCCTTACCCAAAGGAAAAGTAAACCTTCATCTATTTTCATGACAGGAGGTAGTTTTACAGTTTGGAGTAATGTGCCTGCCCACTGCAGTTAAGCTCCCGTTCTTCCACAGAAACTCAGAAGTAGAAGTGTTGCACCCTTCTAAGTTTACACATCAATGAGATGCCTCCCAGGTCCTTGACAAAGACATTTCTTGGGTTTTAAAACTGGCGAGATGCTGGGCAAAGGTTTATATACATTTCAAAGGGGCAGGGAAAGAACATACAACTGGAAGTTTTTTTTTTTTTTTTTTTAAAGAAATGCTCTAAGAAGAGTCAGGGGCCTTAAGTCAGGAAGAAGCCTGCCTAAAATTTAGTCAAGTTGAGGGGAACATTAAGGCTGTATCTTGATCAGTTCTTACTCTTTTTATAACTTCAGACTCAGAAACAGTAGTTTCCTTCCTGTTCCTCAAAGACACCAAGTATATTTCTGTTCTATAATCTTTGCATTTGTTGGACTCTCTGGAACAATATTCTGCCAGCTTACTACATGGCTTGTTCTCTTATTTTCTTCTGATGTATACTCAAATGTCAACTTACCACCAGAGTGATATTTCATGACCACCCTATTTAAAACAGCAATCCTCCCTATATCCATTACTATGCTTTATTTTTCTATAACATCTGATATTATTATTCAATAACATCTGATATAGTATATATAATTGAAGTGCTAAGAACCTAATGATATAGCCTGAATTATTTTCTCATATAGTCTTAGAACTAGCATATCATAAGTGCTCATCGTAGGTGCTTGATATGGTTTGGCTGTATCCACATCCAAATCTCACCTTAATTTGCAATAATCTCTGCATGACATGGGAGGAGCTAGGTGGAGATAATTGAATGATGGGGGCAGTTCCCCCATACTGTTCTTGTGGTAGTGAATAAATCTCACAAGATCTGATGGTTTTATAAATGGGAGTTCCATTTCACAAGCTATCTCTTGCCTGCCGCCATGTAAGACATGTCTTTGCTTCTCCTTTGCCTTCCACCATGATTGTGAGGCCTCTCCAGCCATGTGGAACTGTGAGTCCATTAAACCTCTTTCCTTTATAAATTACCCAGTCTTGGGCATGTCTTTATTAGCAGCATGAGAACAGACTAATACAGTGCTCAATAAATTTGTGTTAAATACATGAATTAATGAAGTAGTTACTAATAACATTTCAGTTTTCAAAATGAAGAAAGTGAGGCATAAATATATTAAAGTACTTAGGTCCGTAGAGTCATTCAGTATCAGAGTTATGTATTAATCTACACCAACTTTGCTGACTTTAAATCTAAATATTCAGCTAGTAATTAAAAGACAGATTAGGAGTTGTAGTTTTTGAACAAATTCATGGAAATGATTTAAATATGTGCAACTTAATATGGAAAAGCAGAGTGGCCATTCAGTCCAAATGTGATTTTCGCATTGTTTCAACAAATTGTCCATAGCACCCATCACAGTGCCTGGCCCATGATTAAAACCATGTAAATAGTCAATGAATGAATGAATAAATCAATGACTGGAGTTAGCAGTCTAGATTTTTGACAACAGTTATGTAATTTGGGATATTTGGCTAATTTCTTTAAGCCTCAAAATTATTATTGGCAAATTTTGAACAGGCTAGATAGTCTCCTTAGTAGTGATGAAATGGTAGCCACCACAATCATACACCCTTTTTCACATAGAGAGAGTTGTTGCAGAGAAGTAGCTACCCAATCAGAGACTATATTTTCCATACTTGCATCTAGGGCACATTCCATTGCAATATAGTTGAAAGTCATTTATATCACTTCTGAGCTGAAGTTCAAGAAGAAAATGTGTCCCTTCCACATTTCCTTTATTTATTTTCTGGATGAATTTAGAGAACTTCAAGGCTGTAGTGGGGAATACAGCTAAAAGATGAAACAGCTCATTTCTCTGAATTACCATGTGGAAGAAAGCCATTCACCCACCAGCAACATCTAAGCAGTTATTTAACCTGAGTGTAAAATAGTAATCTGTGGTATATAGTCCATAAAACAGTTGAGTTTATTATAGCAGCTAACAATGCCCTTAATGTCATAATCACAAATGTTTATTTTAAATACAAAATTCCATGTTCTACACTCATGTCAAATCAGTAATTTTTTTCAGACATTAAACATAATTTCCCAGATAAAAGGCAGAAAACAATAGTAATGTACTAATTATTTTCCATTTTCAGGGCCATAACCCTAATTCTATTCCTAGTTAGCTAACACTTTTAATGGCCATATCGTTTCCAAGTGGTCTCCTTTCTTCTATTTTATTCTCCTTCAAATGATCATTATAAATGTTTTGTAGTTATTTTTCATTTATTCATATATTGACCTTTTATATGAGATAAACTCAAATGTTCACATCTGGCTTTTAATCTTTTTCTAAAATTCCTATCTAGGGTTTATCTCCTAGTGGTACCCAATGTAAATCTGCTTTAACCAGATCTCTAGCCCACACCTCTTTAAATCAACTATGCTTAGTTGAGTCTCTGAAGTTTTACCATTCCTTCCCCTGGGTTACTTTCTTTTTATCTGTAGTACTAATCTTTTAAGATCTATCCATAAGCTTTTTCTTCTTGAAAACTTCACTTTCCCTTCTGTCAAATTAATGTTAATTTCATGTGTATACACTTTGGTTCTTAATATTTTATGTCAGGAATGGAAGATGCTTAACTTATTTTGCCACCTTGGACCTAATCCTGTTTCTATAATTATATTGTAACAATCTTTCCCAGTTATTTTATAAAAACACTTTGCACAGGAAGGGTTCAGGCTGAAGCTTTTAATTAGATCAATTGACCCATTCTTGTTTTGAAATACAAGCTTATATCATTTAATTCTATTAAATTGTCTTTCATATATATATATATATATATATACACACACACACACACACACACACATATACATAATAGTTCTCCTATTAGACTACAATATTATTAAGAAAAGTAGTTTCTATAATTGGGCAAAACACAGAGTAGGGTTTTTTTATTTTTAGCTCTTAATGATGGTTAATATTAAAGAAAAAGCCCTCAACATCTGAAAACAAACAAGAAGTAGAACGTAAGAGTCCAAATTTGCAAATACAGCTCTAATAGTAAAATGTTCAAAACAAATCAGTCTGGCAGCAATGGGGTATAGCATTTTAAGTTCTCTGTACCATGCAGCATAAAAGTAAAAGATTTAAAGTTTATATTTAGAGGCAATATATTTGTCAGAAAGATGTAAAATTCCTGTTAAATGTTCACAATATAGAAAACATGTTATTACTTTGGTTCTATTTAGTATGAATTTTTTAAAACAGAGAAGGCAGAGGAAAATTATGGTATTAGGGTAATGTTATTTATATTTTTATTTTAGAAAAGCAAGATAGGTGATGTTTAAGTGAAGCGAAAATAATAAATTATAATGTTTAAGAAATGCTAATGGCATTCATGATCACTTTGGGAGGCTGAGATCAGATCATTTGAGGTCAGGAGTTCAAGACCAGCCTGACAAACATGGTGAAACCCTGTCTCTACTAAAAATACCAAAATTAGCCAGGTGTGGTGGTATGTACCTATAATCCCAACTCCTCAGGAGGCTGAGGCAGGAGAATTGCTTGAACCCAGGAGGCAGAGGTTGCAGTGAGCCGAGATGGTGCCACTGCACTCCAGTCTGGATGATGGAGTGAGGCTCTGACTTCGTTTTTTTTTTTTTAAAAAAAGAAACTGGCTGGTAAATATAAGAGGAAATAAATTATAAATCAAGAGTAATTTCTAATGTTTGGCAAATTTCTTCAGGTATAGGCAAAATAAAAGTTCCTATGAAGTTTATTGACATTTCCTCTCAGTGACACCATAACAAGGCAGTATTTCTTTCAATAAAATAATCTTAAGAAGTTAGAAAAAAAAGGCCATTAGGTTATGGCTTCTTTCTTACATTTCCTCAAATTTGTTTGATGCAACTATTTTTGCATAATTTGATAGAGTCGTCTAAAATTATGGATAAGCAATGTATGTGACAAAAACCAATACAAAACTATTCATTATTATAAACATAAAACATAAATTTCAACAATCTTTTTTGTGTTAAATTTTCAAATATTTAATATATATTTTTAAAACCCTGTTACTAACATTGTATATTCAATTATTAAGAAAATAAATACAATTGGTTTAGTATAAAGGTTTGAATTTTTTAATGAAAGCTTTTCAAACTAATATTTGAAATTAAACAAAAAACTAGCCTTTATCATTTACATAAAAAATTATTCAGTGATTGAAATTTTTCTCTTCTAAACATTTACAGAAATGCCAACAGCAGATAAAGGTATAAATACCGTTTATTTAGTGTTTATCTTTTCAGGCAAGTTCAAGTATTCTGTCAATTAGAACTTAAACGAATTCCAGACATCTGCATAATATGTTATTATTGGTGCTGTAAGAGGAATCAGGGTTGATAGGAACATAGTGGCAGGCTAAAAATGAGTTGTGTGACCAGGTGGTATGCAGAATGCTAGGCTTAAATTTGGACATGTCAGAGGTGTTTTAGTTATATAGATGGCTATGATTAAAGATTTGCATTAGAAGAGTAATTGGTAATAATATGGCCTGGAAGAGGCCTTGAGACTTGAAATAAAGACAATACCTATCAGAGGAAACACTCATCTATTCTCACTGGTCTCCTTCAGACTCACTTGTTTACAAAGCTACTGGTTGGGGAGGGGTAGAGTAGGCTGTTTAAAATGTAAATAGCTCCTCCAACAAGCTGGGGAGATTTCCATTACTTGAAAGTTGTTCTAGTTCCCTGGAGTTGGCAGGGAGCCAGAGCAGCAGGTTGAGGAGCCTGTTATATAGTCACTTCCCTAGTTGCTGCAGCTGCTGAGAGCAGATCCGGTCTATTTACCTGGTCGCCATGGGATTCTCCCTCTTGCTCAACCACCTGGCCAACCACAAACCAATCAATCCTAGCCTCCATTTCAAGGCTTTTCTAGGGCTCTGAAGAATTAATACCTCTCTGAAAGTACTTTATATTCAGGAAACACCTCATTAAATCATGAGGGTCAAGTATAATATATGAGATGGTCCATTTGGAAGGACCAGATCATCACAGACATATCTAGGGATGGGAGTTCTGAAAGGTTATACCTATCAGAGCGTGCCTTCAGTGTGATTAAATGTGTCTAACTAACGGGAGAGGGGTCAGCACACCCTATTGGCCTTTGCTCTCTGAATTCCATTAGTCTTGAGGTCAGCAACTGGACTACCTGTACATCTCTATTATGCATAAGTGATGTGGTTATATTCCAGGCAGCCAAGAAAAGCTAATCTGAGACTAGTGTAGATATATTATCCTCACTTCCACCACTCCTTTTGTATTTACCCAGAAAGCTTTTCTCTTAAATAATAAAATATAAAATTTCAAGATTGTCCTTGAAAGCAGGAATGGAGTAGGTAATTCACACTCTTGGTTTTTATTATCCTTAATGCCTTCCCCATCACAGAAGTTATATAAAATTTATCTTGTTCTAGGTATGATGCCATGACTTGCTTTTTTTTTTTATTCAACATTCTGCATTTAAGCATATTCATGTTGGCTTACAGAGAGTCTACATGGCTTCTTTTAAATGCTCTGTAGTATTCCATTGTATAAAGAGACCACAATTTATGTATCTATTTCTCTACTGATGGAGATGTTTGGATTAGTTTCAATTTTTCGCTCCAAAAATTATGTCAGGGCTTATAGCTCTGCATGTCTTCTTTATAGGTGAGAGAATTTCAGTAGGGTATATAATAAAAGTGTAATGGTTCTATCACAGACTATGCATGTGTTCAATTATCCTATAAAGATTGAAACTTTTATCCTGAATGATTTTACCAATATACCATTCAACAAAAGGTGTATGGGAGTTTTCTTTTCCCAACATCCAACAAATACTTAATATGGCCAGATTCATTTTTACTTTGCTAATCACCTGAATATGAAAAGAATCTCATTTTTCAAAATTTGCATTTCCCTACAGAAATGCAAAAAGGTTGTGAGCCTTTTCATATGTTTATTGGCCATTGTGCTTCCTTGTATACTAATTCCTGTTTATACCCTTTGCACATATTTCCTTTTGAGCTATTTCTTTCATTATTGATTTGTAGCAGTTACTTATATTTTCTCAGTATCTTTTCATTTATTATAAATGATCAAGTTATGTCCTCCAAGTCTATGGCTAGTACTCTAGTTTTGTTTACAGTATACTTGTCAAATGGAAAATTTTTAATGCCATCATATTTAGCCAGTCTTCTGGTTTTGCTTTGTATGCTTTGTGTCTTGTAGAGTGCTACAGACTGAATTGTTTTCTCTTTAAATTCATATGTTAAATCCCTAACCTTTAATGTGACTATATTAAGACATAGGAGGACCTCTGGGAGGTAATTAAGATTAAATGAGGTGAAAACAATGGTGATTTAATCTGCTCAGGCTGCTATAACAAAATACCACAGACCTAGTGGCTTAAACAACAAAAGTTTACCACAATTCTGGAAGCTGGAAAGCCCAAGATCAAAGGGATGGCAAGATAGGGTACATTCTTGAGAGGTGAAGCCGGCTGGGCTTCTGGGTCAGGTGGCGACTTGGAGAACTTTTTTGTCTAGCTAAAGGATTGTAAACACACCCATCAGCTCTCTCTGTCTAGCTAAAGGTTTGTAAATGCACCAGTCAGCACTCTGTAAAAGCAAACCAATCAGCAGTCTGTAAAATGGACCAATCAGCACTCTGTAAAATGGACCAATCAGCAGGATGGGGCCAAATAAGGGAATAAACGCTGGCCACCCAAGCCAGCAGCAGCAACCCACTGGGGTCCCCTTCCCTGTTGTGGAAGCTTTGTTCTTTTGCCCTTCATAATAAATCTTGCCACAGCACACTCTGGGTCCCTTTACGAGCTGTAACACTCACTACGAAGGTCTGCAGCTTCACTCCTGAAGTCAGCGAAACCACAAACGCACCGGGAGGAACAAACAACTCCAGACGCGCCACCTTTAAGAGCCGTAACACTGTGAAGGTCTGCGGCTTCACTCCTGAAGTCAGCGAGAGCACAAACCCACTGGAAGGAAGAAACTCTGGACACATCTGAACGAACAATCTCCGGACACACCATCTTTAAGAACTGTAACACTCACCGTGAGGGTCCGCGGCTTCTTTCTTAAAGTCAGTGAGACCAAGAACCCACCAGAAGGAACCTGGAAAGCCCAGGATCAAGCGGATGGCAAGATAGGGTATATTCTGACGCCTCTCCTCTTGGCTTGCGGTGATAAAGACTTTTTGCTTGTCCAAATTTTAATTAGTCTTCTGAGCTTCTCCTAGGTCCACCTTTGCACTTCCTTGTACAATTCAGTTTTAGCAAAGAACCCTGCTAAATCAGTTTAGCTAATCCCCCATCTTCAGTATCTGATTAGGTTCCTTATCCTCCACCATCATCCCAGATGATGTCTGATTACCCTGGCCTGTCTTCGGCAAGAATCCTGTTTAGTTGGTTAAGCCAGAATCCAGTTCACCCCGATATTTCCTCTTAGCAATTTCCCATCTACTGACACCCACACGGCTCTTCGACTATAAATTCCCATTTGCCAATACTATATTCAGCGTTGAGCCTAATCTTTCCCACACCCCATTGCAGTGGTCACTGTATCTATTGTGATGGTCCTTAATGAAGTCTTCCTTACCATGTTTTAACAAGTACCATTGAATAATTTTTTTCCCTTTAACAGTAGGTGGCTTACATCTCACTGTGCGCTCCTCACATGACCTCTTGTTCACAGGCAGAGAGAGGTCGAGCTCTCTGATGTCACTTATAGGGACACTAGTTCTGTCAGATTAGGGTGCAGCTCTTATGGACTCGTTTAATCTTAACTATTTTTGTAAATGCCCTATCTACAAATAAAAGTCACTGTTATTTAGGGGTAAGGACTTCAACATATGAATTTTGGGAAGAAAAAAAATTCAGTCTAAACCAGGTGGGAACATAATTTGATAGGATCAGTGGCCTTATAGTAAGAGGAAGAGACCTTTCTCTCTCTCGCTCTCTCTCTCTCTCTTTTTCTCTCTTCCCTTCTTCTCCTACTTGGGCTAAGAGGAAAGGTCATGTGAAGCCGAAGTGGCTGTGTGCAAGCCAGGAAGACAGCCCTCATCAAAAAACTGAATCAGCCGAAACTTTCATCTTGAACTTCTTGCCTACAGTACCATGAGAAAAAGAAATTTCTATTGTCTAAGCCACCCAATAGATGGTATTTTGTTATGGCATCCTGAGCTGAGTAAGACATATAGTATTCCTGCCTTCTACCAAGCTCATAAACAATTGCTATTATTTATGTAATTACTTATAATTACTTATGGCATTTGACCCATATAGTATATATAAAAATATATGCATCTATGAAATGAGAATACATTGATCCAAAAACATTTACTGAAGGGATGACTCTGTCACCACTGATTTTTAATGCTTCATATATCTTTTACCATGATGCCATACCATGATGCTATGTGATATGGTTTGGCTGTGTCCCCACCCAAACCTCATCTTCAATTGTAGCTCCCATAATTCCCATGGGTTGTGGGAGGGACTCTGTGGGAGATAATTGAATCATGGCTGCAGTTTCCCCCATACCATTCTTGTGGTAGTGAGTAAGTCTCACGAGGTCTGATGAGTTTATAAGGGGTTTCCCCTTTCATTTGGCTCTCATTCTGTCTTGTCTGCCACCATGTAAGACGGGCCTTTTGCCTTCCACCATGATCTTGAGGCCTCCCAACCACGTGGAACTGTGAGTCCATGAAACCTATTTTTCTTTAGAAGTTACCCAGTCTCAGGTATGTATTTATCAGCAGCGTGAAAATGGACTATATGTAAAATAGGGTTATTCCAATTGTCTATTTTGGTCAATTAGTCAATTTTGGTTTATTGTTCATCTATGTAGTACATCAAGGCCACTTTACCTTGACTGCCATCCTGGTAATAGTGAGTCCTGGTATCTGGTAGGTCAAGGGTCCTCCTTTTTTTTTTTGAGAGTGTTTTAAATGCACCTGTGATCTAGGTGATTTAGTAGGTCTGGAATGGGACCTAGATTCTGAATTTTATCTAAAGCATGTAGATTTTGACATTGAACAGCAGGCTTTTAGAAATAAGTTTGTAAAAAGTTTTGTTGAATAAAAATAAAGTTGAAAGGCGAATGTAAATGCAATAATGCGTGAAATAATCTGCCAAGAATTGATTGTGATTTAAAATATAAAGTCCTCCCATAATAGAACATAGTACTTTTTTCAGATATTTATATCCTTTAACAATGTGTTTTAATTTTCTTTATAAAAGGGCACTCTTTGTTAGGTTTCTACCCAGATAGCCTAAATTTTATATTGCCTTTATAAATGGTATTCTTTTTTCCTGTTCAATACTGAAATAGAGAAAATCGGTGGTATATGTGAAAGCTTTTCATTTTTATATGATGATCTTGTATTCAGCAACCCCAATGAATTACCAGGTCTAGTAGTGAGATAGCTGAAATTTGCTTTCTTTAAAAATAACTTGCCTGAGTTAGGATGAAGCACATAGGGTCCTTACTTTCCTTTTTTTTCTATTTGCTGCAAGTTTTGGATTACCTGTTCTAGATAGATTGGTAAAATTTGTCTAGATGCAGTGTATTCCCTGTTCCCATTCCTTTTGTGAGTGGGATTGGCCCAAGGTTTTAATTGCTGACTTTGTACTTTAATGGTGACAGATTTAGTAATGTTTTCTATTTTTTCTTGATTCAAATTTGTTTCTATTTTTTTAATAAAAGATCTTGTCTCAAATTATGGTCTAAAAACTCCTGTGGTTCCTGGAGAAACTTTCAGGGAGTTCATGAAGTAAAAAACAGTTGTGTAATTACACTATACTGAAATATTATTGTTTTTACTCTCATTTTTTCACAAGTGTATAGTGAAAGGTTTCAGAATTTCAGAGATGAAAGAGTGGTATTGTAGCAGATTTAATGTAGTATCAAGCGAAAGTTTAAAGAAACATGCACTATTCTACTTTTTTGTTTCTTTTGCTATAGTTATCTCATGTAGTTTATATTTATATTAGCATGCAGTGAGCTTGTTATTGTTATATTTTAAAATATATTAATAAAGGCACATTTTAACATTGCTTTAATTTTTAAGTGATAAATGTTGATATATAAGCCTGCATAAATACAAGCTCTTTGAGGTCCTCAATTTTTAAAATCATAGAGTTCCTGAAACCAAAATGTTTGAAAACTACTATTCTGGAAAAATTTTTGTTTTGTCAAAAGTGTCAAATTCATTGATATAAAAGTGTTCATCACTTACACATCTTTTAAAAATATTGATGTACTAATCTCTCTATGTTTATACTGAATTCCATTTAAAAATTTATTTTCTTACAAGTTTCAAATAATCATATTTAAATGCTTATTTTTTTCATTCTTCTGTTTATTGAATATTAAAATTTGCTGTTTGTGTATTCTCTTCTTTTTGTGTACCTTTCCCTTACTTTTATGTCATTAATCTAGGCTCTTGAATAGTTGCCAAATAAGCAATCATTTTTTAAAGAAAGACTGCAAATATATTTTTAAGTATCACTTAAACTGTGTCACAAGTTCTTTGATGCAGAATTTGCTTATTACTTAATTCTAAGCATTTAAAAATTGTCATTCTTTTAAAATTCCATTTTTACAAGCTTTTAATTGTTGGAAAATTAATTACATGGAGATTCAGTGCAGTATGCATGGTTTAAATTCATTTAGTTTTGTTTTAAATTTTCTATGCAATGTAGTATGTGGCAAATATTTGTAAATATCCACATGCACTTCAACATTGTTGATTACATGAATACATAACCATGAACATGTATAGTAGCTTTGGCTTTCTTTGAATTTTTTTGATTAATCATTAGCAAGTATTAAACAGCTTGATCTATCAGTTTCTGAGATATGTACATTTAAGTTTTATGATTGATAATTTATCTGTTGCTTCTTAATATTCTGTCAGTATTTTCAATATATATTTCGAGGCTATATTATTGAGTGCATATATGTTTATTACTGCAATGTATTATTGACTGGTTGTGTCAAGAATTGTAAAGCAACTAAAATTTACTCTGCATGCAAGCTCAAAAGTTGTTAAAATCCAGAAGACACAAGACTCCTGGTTTAGAGCAAATGGAAAGTTTATTATTCACAACAATAGCAGCAGTCACAACATTTTCATATTCTTATGCCTGTTCCCAGATCTCAAATTCCCATACAGTGATGTTACAAGGGCCCAATAATGCCTACGTGAGCATTAAAATGTGTTATAAGAGAATTGCAAACTTAAGAGACCCTAGTCTTTTATAATGTGCTGCAAGCAAATAAATCCAAATTCTTCTGTAGAGGGAGTTGTTAACTTTTATTCTACTCAGCAGTAAACAAACCTACCTCTGCTCTGGAAAAATAGCGTATCTCTGTTTTCCAAACCTGTTTTCTATACAAACCTCTTTAAAAAGATAGATAGTTGAGAAATAATGCTCTCAGTACCTCTGTAAGCTGTGCAAAAATTCAAGAGACCATTGGTGAATTGTCTTCTAATAAGTTGTTTCTATTTATCATTAGAAACAATCTAATTTGTTACTAGGAATAGCTTTATTTATTAACTAAAGATAATGAATATAACAATTGTTATTGGTAACAATTTATTAACTAAAGATAATGAATATTACATAATTGTTAACAATAATTGTTTTTACCATAATTGTTATTGGTAACAATTATGTAATATTCATTATCTTTAGTAAATAAAGCTATTCCTAGTAACAAATTAGATTATTTCTAATGATAAATAGAAACAACTTATTACCAATTGTTATTGGTAACAATTATGTAATTGGTATAATTGTTATTGGTAACAATTATGTAATTGGTAACCAATAATTTGTAATAATTGTGTAATATTCATTCTTTTTAGGTAATAAATATTATAATGTGGCATGAATATTTCCATACTAGCATTAACTGTTAAGTGGTTGACAGATATATTTTCTCAACACTTTTATATATTATTTTCAATTTGACTTTTGATTTTGATTTGAAGGTAGAAGCGTATGAATTTTAAAAATCTAATTAGAAATATTTGACTTTTCACAGTAAAAAAGTTATACACAATATAAAAATATAAAAGTACAGTTTCTGCTATACTTTTAATGTGTCTGCTACAGTTTATGTGTTGGCGAGTTAATCCCCAAATTAACAGTGTTCATAAGTGGGACCTCTAAGAAGTGATTTGGTCATGAGTGCTCCACCCTTATAAATGAGTTAACACCATTTTTTTTTTTAAGTGGGAGTGGGTGAGTTTTCATGGAAATGGGTTCTTCATAAAAGGATGAATTCGGTCCTCTTCCCTCCTGTTCTCTTACCTTCCACCATGGGATGATACAGCAACAAGGCTATTGCCAGATGCTAACACCTTGATATTAGACTTCCTGGTGTCCAAAACTTGATAAATACATTTCTTTTTGACAATAATTTTACCCAGTTGTGGCACTCTATTATAGCAACACAAAATGGACTAAGTCAGTTCTTGTATACTGTATACAGTTGGCCCTCTGTATCCATGGGTTCTCATCCATGGATTTAACTGAACATGAATTGAAAATACTGGAAATAAATTGTGTCTCTACTGAATGCATACAAAGTTTTTCTTCCTGTAATTTTTCCCTAAGCAATACAGCATAACAACTATTTACATAGCAATTACATTGTACTAGAAATTATTAGTAATATAGTGGTACTTTAAAGTATATACTTGGGAGGATGTGCATAGGTTATATGAAAATGCTAAGCCATTTTATTTCAGGGACTTGAGCATCAACAAATTCTGGTATCCAAGTGAGGTCCTGAAACAAATCACTCATGGATACCAGGGGATGATGACTGTACAATATTTAGATTTATTTTTATCATTTAAATTTAATTTTATGCTTTCCCTCCTTTGTCTTTAATTTTTTGCCATTCAATTATGACATTTTAAATGGCCCTTCTATCTGTAGTTGGTTTCAAAAAATATATTCATATGTCAATTCATATGTCAATAAGACTTTCTTTTTTTCTCTGAATCTACTTAGTTGTGCTTCCTTAGACAACCTATAACTCAGGAAATCAAAACTCTGTATCTCCTTACCGCCTCATGGGTGGTGATGTTATGTTATTCACCTTGGTTTTATGAAGTGGTTCTCTTTGGTGGTCATCCAGGGGAACTATTTGGGTCCCATTATCCTAATGGAGGAAAATTCTTAGCTACTTCTTCATTTCCAATTTCAGGTCTCATAAGTTTCATGAGAAGTTAAAAATATTATAAAAATCAGTGAAGTCTTGAAGAGTTGTAACTGGGTGTCTAATTATTGTTGTCATAGATGAGGGAATGCCAAGAAGATGAGGTTTCTGAAGGGCAAACTTCAGTCAGCCTCCGCTTCTTAATTCATAACTCAAGTTGTCGTGATTTTTGAATAATTAAAGTGAGCAGAGGAAACAGAATGGAGTGGATGATAACATTGAAAATGGAGACTGCACTTAGTTATAAATATTTTCTAATTTCTTTTTCCTTTGGTCAGTCTTGACATAGAGTTAAGCTTGCTTGTTAAGATTAGGCAACATGAGATTAATAAAATTCTATACAATTTGGGAAGCCAAATCGATTTTTGTTTGCTTTATTATTTTGACAAAATTCTAAACGGCTATAACTATTGAGAGGATGGTTTTGCTGCTTCAGTAAGTATTATAGTATCCTTTGCCATTGCTGATTTTATTTTATTAATGGACATTTAATCACAACTAGTGACAACAGAGAGATTATAATAAATTAGAAAAATGAGATTAGTCAAATTATGTTTTACCAGAAAAAAATTGTTTTTTCATGTTTATTATTTTTTTTCTAATAAAACTAACATCATCATTAGATTTTCTATTCAGCAAATTTGTCAAAAGCATCCAGAAATGTACGGGCAGGGTGCCATATATCTTCAGAGAAGAAAAATCACTTTTAGTTTGAAACAATCTGTGACAGACAGACTTGTAATATGGCCTATAGTGATTCTCAACCTCCTAGTTTTCAAACCATTTTGAAATTCCTTCTCCTTCAGAGGGGCCTGAATATAGTGACTTTCTTCCAACCAACATAATATAGCAAAGTTGATGAGTTACTACTTCCATGATTGCTACAAAGATGGTGACTTCTACCTTGCTAGTAACACTGTCCCTTGCTGGCTTTGATAAAACAAGTTACTATATTTGAGAAGCACATGTGATAATTGTCTGAGGGCCACTTTTGGCCAATAGCTATTAGCAAAAAGATTCTCCATTCAACATCTGTTGAAAAACTGAATACTACCAACAACCACCTAAATTAGCATGGAAGAAAACTTGTACCCAGTGAAGCCTTGAGATGACTCCCCAGCCCTGGCAACACAGGCATGCACATTCATTGCAGTCTTTTAAGAAACCTTGAAGTAAAAGACTCAACAGGGCAATTCCCCGATTTCTGATCTGTAGGAATGGTGAGAGAATAAATGTGTGTTGTTTTTAGTATTAATGTCTAGGGTACTGTTTTGCACATTAATAGATAACTAATATAACTTGTATGAACGTCAACATAAACATCAGATTGTTTTCTTATGAGTGAGTGCTACAGGGCTATTTATTTATAATGCTAGTATAACTCTTGGCATATAATATTATGTTCCCAGAGTACTCATGTTGAAGTCCTGGAGTCAAAGATTAACATCCCAGCAGCACAGCCCTAAATCTAGCAAAAGTTTTATTCAAATTTTGGTTCCATTTTCCTCTTTATTTGTGAGAGGAGATACATATGAATCAGTCTGGGTTCTATGTGTAAATATGATTGCTATAACTTAGACTAGTACCCAGTTTAAATATCTATTATGCCATATTTCCTTTCATACATTTATAATATGAATTATATAATAAACACGAGTTTCACATGATTGTCACTGTGCTTGGTTGGTTAGTTTCTGTTTTTGTGGTACTTTTGAGATTTTGGCCTTAATTTTTCCTCATCAGCTTTATAGGGATCCCTATTTTTTCTGTGTCATTACTTCTTGGGAATATGTTAAGCCACGGAAGGAAAAAAAAACTATTTAAAAATGATTAAAATATAGTTTCCGCCAAGATATCTACTTTATACATTATTTAGGCATTTCTTTTCTGGCTTCAATTAGTTGATTGTGCCCTTTTAAATCACAGTTTTATAAATGATGTTCCTGTATCTAACAATTTGTGATTAATTTTTCTCTGTGACAGAAACTGAAGCCTGAAACTACTCCCTTTGGTTCCCTTTATTCATTACTCAATGATTCCATCAGTGATGGGTACACAGAATTGAAAATGTTCTAAGCTAACTGAACCTGACTCAGCAGGGCCTGGGGAATCTAGCCATGAGGGATGAAAGGGAAAAATCTGGAGACTCTATATGCCTATAGGAAAACACCTGTTTGAATGTCTCTTCTTAACTGACTTTGTCTAGTTTTATACAATAATGAAAGCCATTTGAATGCAAAAATCATAGCCTAAAAAGCAAAGAGAAGAAATTCCTGACACTGTCTTATTTGATTTTAAATAAATAATACAAGCAAACTCTCTGAACTAGAAAAAAGTGAGATCCATGAAAATGAGGCCAGTCGTGAGTTACAATTTGCTTTCTTTTACGCACAGTGTTTGAAACTTAGAGAAACAGGATCTTGGAGACAATATTTACTTTACCTGTTTCTCTAATACTATATGAATCCACAAACAAATCTCCATGTTTATTTTGAACAACACCAAAGTTGTCACATGATTCCAGGTGATTTGCTCTAATAGCAATTACCTATTTTCAGCTACAGAACCTTTTTTCTGTTGCTTTTTCACCTTTTAATGCCTTCATCTTCAATTTATGCTTTCTGCCACAGGTGGCGGCAGTCTCATGGGTACAGGATAGTGAGCCTGCTGATGTGAGATCCAAATTTATCAACTCAGCTCAAACTTATTTTTAAACACATTTTAATTTCATTTCATTTTACCTTTAAACTTGGTTTTAAATTGTGAAAATAATACATAATATAAATATTCATTTAGAACAACAATTGGTAATAAGTAGAAGTTACTTCACAATGGCACTAGCAGCGTCATAAGACCATTCCCTGAATGTAAATACTTTAAAACAATTTCTTAAGCATCTTTTCAGATAATTTATTTGCACGTATCAAGGTTTCACAAATAAATGAGATTATATTGTCACACTGTTGTGCAATTTGATTTTAAAAATTAACAGCATATTATATGCTATATCTTTTTCCATAGTATAGTTAATGCCTAATATATTTAACCATTCTCCTATTCCTTTAACTTTCCTTCTTCTCTTCCTTTTTCATTATTCTTCTTTTGTATTTATTAAACGAACTATGTAATGAGTAGCACTTCACATATATCTTCGTGTATATGTTTGAAATTATGGGTGGATGAATTCCCAAATATGGAATTGCTAGCTCTTATGGTATACACTTTTAAAATAAAAGATTGAACGAATTTAAACTTCCACAAAAATGTTTGTGAATGCTTAATTCTTCTAGAGTTTTGTCAACATTGGTTATAAACCCTAGCTTAATTGGTTAGTGTTTCAAAATATATATATCTCATTGGTATTTTAATTTGAATTATGTAAAGTGAGTGAAGTTGAGCATATTTTCCTCTATTAACTAGCTATTCGTATTTATTTTTCTTTGAACTTGGAGTTTGAAATTACATAAATCAGCTTTTACTGTGATAACAAACAATCCCATATCTCAGTATTTTGTGACAAAACACATTTGTTTCTTGCTCATGTTACATAAATACATGGTCTACTCTGGCTTTGCTGGGCTTAGCTCTGTAAATCTTCTCATTTTGAAACACAGGTAACAGGCATAGTCACTATCTACAATTTCTAGTTCTCATGACTGGGGAGCAGAGCAAGAAGATACCTGTCAAGATACACAATAACATCTAAAGTGTCTGTTCAGATGGGGACTTTGGAGTTGTGACAATATATCCTTTTAAATTAGATTGAAAAAATAGATCACATAGCCAAGACCAAGTTCAATGGCGTATAAAGGCATGGAAAAAAACGCGGAGAGAAAAAAAAATTATTGTGAAAACCTAATGAAATTTACCATTATGGTCTTGACATTTCTCTATTGGTTAATTTTCTTGCTTATGTATTTATTAAAAACAATCTTTGTATATTAAGGAAACCATTCCATTGTCATATTTGTAACACTTTTTTATGCAAATCTTCACGTATGTTTGACTTCTATAGTCATTTTTATGCTATAAATTTTTAGAACATTACATATATTATATATAATAAATGTATAATATAAAAATTCCATAGATAATATATATTTTATATAAAACATTAACGTTTATAAATCATATTTATTTATAATATTGTTATATATTATATATAAATTATATATATATAATTTAAAAAATATAAACTTTATTTAACACTTACTTTCATGGCTTCTGGTCCTATATTATGTTAGAAAGAAAATCTCTCCTCCATGACTATAAGAAACAGCAAAATGATGAATTGTTAAGTAAAATAAATCTACATGCACACACAGACACACACTCACACATACACACCCAAATTTGGCCGGGTGCGGTGGCTTACACCTGTAATCCTAGCACTTTGGGAGGCCGAAGCGGGGTGGATCACGAGGTCAGGAGATTGAGACTATCCTGCTAACACGGTGAAAACCCGTCTCTACTAAAAAAAAAATAAAAATAAAAAATTAGCTGGGAGTGGTGGTGGGCGCCTGTAGTCCCAGCTACTTGGGAGGCTGAGGCAGGAGAATGGCGTGAACCCGGGAGGTGGAGCCTGCAGTGAGCCGAGATCGTGCCACTGCACTCCTGTCTGGGCGACAGAGGGAGACTCCATCTCAAAACAAACAAACAAACAAAAAACTACACGAAATATATATCTTGATTATAATTTGTACAGAATATCTTTTAAAGAAACATGCATTTAAACCCAGGTAATTTCCATCCTTCTATTATATCTAAACTAAACTAATTAGAGAAAAAGTATCTCTCTGATCCTCATTTGTTAAGATGACTTAATCAAGTTTAATAAATTTTTTTTCTAGACCTTTATATCTGTTTATCTGCATCGATATGTTTCTTGTTTTTTTCCACAGAAGTTTAATACAATTCCTAAACATGCCATAAAATTCAAATACCTAAATCACTCCGTTTGATTTATTTTCAACAAATCTCTTCTTGACATATTCTATTTTCCAGAAAACACCATATTTCCTTGTTTCTCCTGGATCTGGACATATATGTATATAAAAGCACATATATAAAGAGGTAGATATTAATATCCATGTTATTAATCACGTGTTTAACATTCTAAAACTGAAGTGCTATGGTGACTTGATTCACATAGTTCAATGATGTCTGACAAAGTCATTCACTTCCACATACTTTCATATAGTATAATTCAAGAGAAGTTTAAATCATGTTCTCACCTGGAAAGGGCTTATAATTTAATTCAGGTAACAAGTACATATATCAACAATTAGTGAATTATATAGGGCTTTAAATAATAAAATTATATTATTATATACAAAGTAATATCAAAACCAGCACGCATTAGAGCTGTCAATAGAAGCTTTGCTGGAGGAAGAGGCCCAATTTTAAAGATGGATAAGATCTAGGTAGACGCTAAAATTATAAAAGACTAAATATAAACATTGGGTAAAAGGACAGGATAAGCAAAGGTAAGGTAATGAGAAAAGGATTAGACTTTTAGATACAATAAATAATGTCTACACTAACCTGCTTGCTGAAGACTGGAAGTGTATAATATTAAGAAACAGTAGATACAGACCAACTTCTGGCATGTTGATATGAGGCGTTCTGTGGACCTTCTCCCTAGTGAAACTGATAAAAAATATTTTTTAAAAAGATACAACAATTTAAAGCCATGGACATGATCTTAAGAGCATACAATAAATGAAGAAACATCCAGTCAAGAAAATTAACAAAAATTTGGTAAGAAAAGTCAGAGTCAATGGTATTTAAAACAAAATTACTTCTTCCCAATCCCCACCTGCAGCTGATAATGCCACCCCAAACCACTACATTGGAGATCACAGTGCTTTCTTTCTACCCTGCTCCCCATCACAGGGTTTTGTTGTTGTTGTTGTTGTTGTTGTTGTTTTCCCTGGGAAGAGCAGGATGTCAGAATTTCTCATCCTTCCCCAGCTGCCTGCTCAGTCTGAGTTTTGGGAAAGTGCACTTGAAAAGTGGGGACTCCTTTGCTAAAACTAACTCTCACTCTGTCTTTGGCACATTATCACTAAGAATATGGGGGCAGAAACTGCTTTTGACAAAATTATAACAGTGAGAGAAATTTAACATAACACTTTACTGTTCTTCAAAACTCACAAGTTGACCACGTTGCTCACTGCTGTATGTAGACCAAGCTAACTATGGGAGGAATTTGGTTTCTAGCTTAATTTTAAAACAAATATAATAATGAGATTGTTTATTCTCAGTACTAGTCCCTTCCTTGCTTTAGGACTGAAACTGTCTATATAGCATTAATGAAAGCCTACAAAGCTAGAATTGTGGTAAAGGCCTGAATTTTGTTAAGACTTAGGCAGAAGTTCAGTGATAACCAGCCATTGTTTGTTTGCTTTTCCATAATTGCTTACAGCTCAGAAAGTCACCTAACTAGGGGTTACAAGATTGAAAACTTCTCCAAATTACTCCTATGGATAGGGTCACTATTGCAACACCTAAGACTGATGTTCAAGTTATTTTTCAGACCTTGCATTCTGATGAACCAACTGACACCAACCAGACTTGTGTCCCATACCAAGGAACTCACTCAACTGGTCCTGTGAACCCCACCCAGAAACTGATTCAGCGCACAAAGACAGGTTTGACACTCCTATGATTTTGCCTATGACCCAACCAGTCAGCATTCCCCATTCCCTAGCCTGTCAAAATATCCCTAAAAAAAAAACTTTAACTTCTGAATTCTTAGGAAGGCAGAATTGAGAACTATCTCCCATGTTCTCATTTAGCTGAATCTGTAATTATTAAACTCTTTCTTTACTGCAAACACCTGCTGTCTCTGCGTATTGGGTAATTCTGTGCAGTGGGCAAGAAGAACCCATCCGGCTGCAACAGGGCGCTGATCATGCTTTTCGTTGCTTGTAAAGTGGTGATTCTATGCCAGGAGAAGCAAAAAGAGAAGACCTCAGGCTTCTGCCTGCCTCTAGTGAGTGCTCAGTTCCTGAAGCATGGGTATCACTTAGACTGAAGAGTGGCATTGTCCCCACCCTCAGATCTAGAGCCCTGACTCAAAGGTTTTGCCTGGGGGAAGAAGCAGGACCTAAAGCTGATAACTCCTAATTTCTTCCCAAAGTCCTGACTTCATTTGCAGCAAGATGTAAAGGCCAAGCCAATAGGTACGCTTAATAACAGTGGACATTGAGGTTGAGTACAACTGAAAAGTGATTAGCAGATTTGGTGAAGGTATGGTCTAAATTTGTCCCAACCAGTTTGCAAGAGAGAGTGGGAAAAACCTACTGGGAGAATTCCTTCTGGGGAAAGCATGAATATCAAATGTGGACCTAAAGAGTTGTTCCTTCAAAGGAGTGTAAATTTGATTGAATTAATATCTAGAGCAATTTAGGCTTTAGAAAATTGTTGAAAACAATAGAACAGTCACTCAGCAATTATTGGAGCTTCACAGCTGGTTGTGGTCAGGGAAAGCAGCAAAAAAAGCCCTGCCAAAAAAATGGTCATTTCAAGGTGACTAAGCTGCAGTTTCCTGAGGAGCATCATCCCAGGTTAAACATAGCCATGGTAGGCAGTGGGGTGGGTGGGGGTGGGAGGTAAGGGGGAAGAGATAATAGACCAGTTCAGCCAGTCACTAAACAAATAGACAAACATGCAGCAATAACAAGCCAACCCTCTCAGTGGGGTGAGGGGATTCCAAGTGTTGGTGCAATATAATATCTAAAAAGCCTACTTTCCAACACAAAATTATGAGACATGCAATAAAACCAGAAAATATAATCATACACTTAGAAAAAGCAGGAAATAGAAGCTGTTGATGAGAGCAACCAGATGTGGGATTTAACAGGAAGAGACATCTAGATATTATAAATATTTTCAAATAACTAAAACTAAAAGAAATAATGATTAAAGAAGCAAAGGAAGATGTAATCACTACGTTGCCTCAGAAAATATAGAGAAAAATTATTGGAAAAAAATCTGGAGTTGAAAGTATAACTAAAATAAAATATTTACTAGGGTTGATGAAGAAATGATTGGAATCGGTGAAGAAAGAATTAGCAAAATTGAAGATAAATCAGTAGAAATTATGTAATCCAAAGAATGGAGAGAAAAAAGAATGGAGGAAAATGAACAGAGCCTCAGAGAATCCTTTAAATACTCCAATATGCATAATAGGGTTTGGCTGTGTCCTCACCCATATCTCATCTTGAATTATAACTCCCACAATTCCCATGTGTCATGGGAGGAACTCTGTGGGAGGTAATTGAATTATGGGGGTGGGCCTTTCCCACGCTATTCTCATGATAGTGAATGAGTCTCTCAAGATCTGGTGGTTTTAAAAAGAAGAGCTCCCCTGCAAAAATTCTCTTTGCCTGCCACCATCCACATAAAATGTGACTTGCTTCTCCTTGCCTTCTGCCGTGATTTTGAGGCCTCCCCAGCCATGTAGAACTGTGAGTACAGTTAAACCTTTTTCTTTTGTAAATTATCTAATCTTGAGTATGTCTTTATGAGCAGCATGAAAATGGACTAATACAACACACATAATAGCACTACCAGAAAGAGAAGAAAATGAAGAGAAAAAAATTTGAAAAAGTAATGGCTGAAAATTTCCCAAATCAAAGAGAAATTAGACAATACTTTGATATAAATAAAACTGAAGACACATCATATCAAAATGTATCAAATGCAATTACAGCAATACTTAGAGGGAAATTGATAGTTACAACTAACTATATGCAGAAAAAAGAAAGATCTCAAATCAATAATCTAAACTTCTATCTTACTACACAAGAAAAAGAAGAGAAAACTAAATTGAAAGCAAAGAAAACAATAAATATTAGAGCAGAAGTTAATGAAATAGATAATAGAAAAACAAACAAAAAAATCAATGAAACCAAAGTTGTTTCTTTTAAATGGTCAATTAAAATAACAAACTTCTCGCAGGATTGACTAAAACAAACAAACAAACAAAATGAGAGAAAGCACTTAAAGTACTGGCATGAGAAATAAAAGCGGGGGAGACATTATTACAGACCTTATCCGAATATTATGAATATTGCATATGTTGAAAAATTAGATAATTTAGATGGATTGCACACATTCCTGGGAACATGCAAACTCTAAAACTGACTTGAGAAAATACAATATGAATAAAACTATAACAAATAAAGTGTTTGAATCAGTAATAAAAGGATTACCCACAAAGAAAAGACCAGGCCTAGATCCTTCAGTGTGAAATTATTCCAACTATGTTAAGCAGACTGAATTCACCAATTCTTCAAAAAATCTTTCAAATAATAGAACGAGAGGAAAAAGTTGTAATCTTTTATTATTTTATTTTATTATTATTATACTTTAAGTTTTAGGGTACATGTGTACAATGTGCAGGTTTGTTACATATGTATACATGTGCCATGTTGGTGTGCTGCACCCATTAACTCGTCATTTAGCATTAGGTATGTCTCCTAATGCTATCCCTCCCCCCTCCCCCCAACCCAAAACAGTCCCCAGAGTGTGATGTTCCCCTTCCTGTGTCCATGTGTTCTCATTGTTCAATTCCCACCTATGAGTGAGAACATGTGGTGTTTGGTTTTTTGTCCTTGTGATAGTTTGCTGAGAATGATGGTTTCCAGTTTCATCCATGTCCGTACAAAGGACATGAACTCTTCATTTTTTATGGCTGCATAGTATTCCACTGTGTATATGTGCCACATTTTTTTGAGGCTAGACATACCAAAATCATAAAAAGACTTTGCAAGAGAAAAAACATTCAGACCAATATTTCTTATAAATATGGATACAAAAGTCCTCAACAAAATAATAGCAAATCAAATCCAGCAACAAACAGAAATAATTATACTTCATGATGTGATCCAAAAGTATCTGAGACAGATTTCAATCAATTTAGAAAGTTTATTTTGCCAAGATTAAGGACAAACCTGTGACACAGCCTCAGGAGGTCCTAAGGACACGTGCCAACGGTAGTTGGCTCACAGCTTGGTTTTATACATTTTAGGGAAACAAGAGACATTAATCAATATGTGTAAGAGGTACATTGGTTCTGTCCAGAAAGGCGAGACAACATGACTCAAAGTTGGGGAGAGTGGTAGGGGTAGGACTTCCAGTTCATAGGTAGATAAGAGACAAATTGTTGCATTCTTTTGAGTTTCTGATTACCCTTTCACTGAAAACACAATTTACATATGAGGAAGATAGAGGAATAGTCACTTATGCCTTAGTCTGGCTTAGTGAATCTGCATTCTTAAATAAACAAGAGGACAGAGGAAGCAAACAGGCATATATTATTTGTCTGGGTGAGCAGAGGGATGACTTTGAGTTCTGTCCTTTGTCCTGCACCTGTGAAGATAATCTATCAAATTACATTGCCAAGGTGAAATTCAACAGATCTGTTTTAGGGCAAAGATTTTTGAGGCCCCCAAAGAATTTCCTTCTTCACAAATTGTGAAGGAGGTATGGTAGCTTTTTAATTTTTATAGCTGTCTCATTTAGAAATAAAATGGGAGGCAGATTTGCCTGATGCAGGTCCCTTTGGCTTAGTGATTTTAGGGTCTTGAGATTTGTTTTCCTTTCACAATGACTAAGTTGGATTTATCTGAGAAATGCAAGGTTGGCTTATCTAGCAATCGAGTAATGTAACATATCATATCAACAGATTAAAAAACAAAAAAAATACCCACAAGATTTTCTCAACAAATGTAGAAAAAGTACTTGATAAAATCAAATACTCTTTCATGAAAAAACTTAGCATAGAAGAGACTTTTCTCAACATGGAAAAAGGCAGATACAAAAAATCTGTAGCTAACATCATACTTAATGATGAAGGCTGGATGTCTTTTTTTTTTTTTATAAGAGCGGGAGCAGGATAAGGATTTTTGTTCTCACTAGTTAACATTTAACAGTACTGGAGGTTCTAACCAGGGGAAGGGCAATTAGGTAATGAAAAAATGCATTTGGATTAGAAAGGAAGAAGTAGAACTATCACTATTTGCAGATAATGTGGTATTTTATATAGAGAAACCAAGGAAATTCACTAAAAGTTATTAGAATTAATAAATAAGGCCAGGCACGGTGTCTCACACCTATAATCCCAGCACTTTGAGAGGCCGAGGCAGCCGGATCACCAGAGGTAGGTGTTCAAGACCACCCTGGCCAACGTGTTGAAACCCTGTCTCTACTAAAAATGCAAAAATTAGCTGGGCATGGTGGCGGGTGCCTGTAATCCCAGCTACTGGGGAGGCTGAGGCAGGAGAATCAATTGAACCCAGGAGGCAGAGGTTGTGGTGAGCCAAGATGGTGCTGCTGCACTCTAGCCTGGGCAACAGAGCGAGACTCCATCTCAAAGAAAAATAAATAAATAAATAAATAAATAAATAAATAAATAAGTTCAGCAAGAGAGTAGCACACAAAATCAATATGCAAAATAAATTGCATTTTTAAAATTGTGATGACTGATTTTATGTGTCAACTTGACTGGGCCATGGGATTCCCAGATATCTGGTTGGACATTATTTCTTGGTTGTCTGTGAGGCTATTTTCAGAGGAAACTAGCATTTGAATTGGTACTGAGTGAGGCAGGTGGTCCTCCCCAGTATAAATGGGCACAACCCAATCTATATGAGGATCCAAGTAAATCAAAAAGGTTGAATTTTCTCTGCCTAACTGCTTGAGCTGGGATCAATATCCTGTCCTAAGTGCTCCTGATTCTAGGTTTCAGAATCAGACTGAAATCTACACCATCAGCTTGCTGGCTCTCAAGTCTTTTAAATATACCATAGGCTTTTCTGGTATAGATGGCAGATTATGGGACTTCTCAGCCTTTGTAACTGTGTGAGCCAACACCTTACAATAAATATCTTTCTCTCTCTATTTATTATTGTACACAGAAACCACTGTACTCATCAATTGCTACCTTTGACCAACTCAAATTCAGCATTTTAAAAAATGGATAAATTTCCATTTCTTTGGAGTTTTTGTTTACTCTTTTGTGGGTATTATATTTGTACAACTTCTTGAGAGCATGTTTAAAGTCTTTTAAATTAATATAATGAGATAAGAAACTTTTAATAAACAACATTATAGCACACATTATAGCATACATTACTTGAAAATTTCTCCTGTATATCACTGGCCACTTTTAGTTGCCTATAGCTAACTGAACAGTTATTAAAAATTCCCAAAAGAAATGAGCTGTAGTAAGGAATGTTTCCTTTATTTCCAGTTATTTTTTTCTATTTGTATTGGTATAGGGATCCATTTATTTTTGTCAAGGATATTCTAGGTATGTTTGTCCACCTCATTAAGATTAGGAGGTGAGACATCTACTAATTTACCACCTAGTGCACTCTGACTATATGAAGTGGGAGCTCTTTCCTTCCCCCTCTCCCAGCCTACTTAGGAATTCAAAATGTGAATCAGGAAGCATCATGTATTTTCAAAAAAAAAAAAGCGTGGTTTATCAAAGGCTATATTAAAGATGAAGGTGTGTAGTTTGGAGTTTTGTTCCATCAGTGTGGACTGAGCAGCTGTTTGAAGAATATCATTAATTACTTTAATCTTTTTTTTTTAATTGACAAAACAAAATGGTTCTAAAAAACGTTTTGAAACAACTGTGAACAGATAAAGAGTCACTGGATCGTTTATCTAAGTAAACCTATGCATGGCATGGCATTATATTTCATTTAATCTAAAAATGTATTTATCTGATGGCTGAATAGGAACAGCTCCAGTCTACAGCTCCCAGCATGAGTGACGCAGAAGACAGGTGATTTCTGCATTTCCAACTGAGGTACCAGAACCATCTCACTGGGGCTTGTCAGACAGTCAGTGCAGGACAGTGGGCGCAGCCCACGGATCATGAGCCGAGGTAGGGCGGGGCATCGCCTCACCTGGGAAATGCAAGGGGTAAGGGAATTCCCTTTCCTAGCCAAGAGAAGCTGTGACAGACGGCACCTGCAAAATCAGGTGACTCCCACCCTAATACTATGCTTTTCCAATGGTCTTAGCAAATGGCACACCAGGCGATGATATCCCGCGCCTTGCTCAGAGGTTCCCACACCCACAGAGCCTCACTCATTGCTAGCACAGCAGTCTGAGATGGAACTGCAAGGTGGCAGCGAGGCTGGGGGAGGGGTTCCTGACATTGCTGAGGCTTGAGAGGGTAAACAAAGCAGCCAGGAAGCTCGAACTTGGTGGAGCCCACCGCAGCTCAAGGAGGCCTGCCTGTGTAGACTCCACCTCTGGGAGCAGGGCATAGCCGAACAAAAGGCAGCAGAAACCCCTGCAGACTTAAATGTCTCTGTCTGACAGCTTTGAAGAGAGTAGTGGTTCTCCCTGCATGGAGTTTGAGATCTGAGAATGGACAGACTGCCTCCTCAAGTGGGTCCCTGACCCCAGAGTAGCCTAACTGGGAGGCATCCCCCAGTAGGAGCAGACTGACACCCCACACGGCCGGGTACCCCTCTGAGACGAAGCTTCCAGAGAAACGATCAGGCAGCAACATTTGCTGCTCACCAATATCCGCTGTTCTGCAGCCTCCACTGCTGATACCTAGGCAAACAGGGTCTGGAGGGGACCTTCAAAAAACTCAACAGACCTGCAGCCGAGGGTACTGACTGTTAGAAGGAAAACTAAAAAACAGAAAGGACATCCACACCAAAATCCCATCTGTACATCACCATCATCAAAGACCAATGGTAGATAAAACCACAAAGATGGGGAAAAAACAGAACAGAAAAGCTGATAATTCTAAAAATCAGAATGCCTCTCCCCCTCCAAAGGAATGCAACTCCTTGCCAGCAATGGAACATAGCTGGATGGAGAATGACTTTGACGAGTTGAGAGAAGAAGGCTTCAGATGATCAAACTTCTCTGAGCTAAAGGAGGAAGTTCGAACTCATCGCAAAGAAGATAAAAACCCTGAAAAAAGATTAGATGAATGGCTAACTAGAATAACCTGTGTAGAGAAGTCCTTAAATGATCTGCTGGAGCTGAAAACCATGACACGAGAACTATGCGACAAATGCACAAGCTTCAGTAGCCCATTTGATCAACTGGAAGAAAGGGTATCAGTGATTGAAGATCAAATGAATGAAATGAAGCGAGAACAGAGGTGTAGAGAAAAAAGAGTAAAAAGAAATGATCAAAGCCTCCAAGAAATATGGGACTATGTGAAAAGACCAAATCTACATCTGATTGGTGTACCTGAAAGTGACGGGGAGAATGGAATCAAGTTGGAAAACACTGTGCAGGAAACTATCCAGGAGAACTTCCCAAACCTAGCAAGGCAGGCCAACATTCAATTCAGGAATTACAGAGAACATCACAAAGATACTCCTTGAGAAGAGCAACTCCAAGACACATAATTGTCAGATTCACCAAAGTTGAAATGGAGGAAAAAATGTTAAGGGCAGCCAGAGAGAAAAGTCGGGTTACCCACAAAGGGAAGCCCATCAGACTAAGAGCTGATCTGTCGGCAAAAACTCTACAAGCCAGAAGAGAGTGGGGGCCAATATTCAACATTCTTAAAGAAAAGAATTTCAACCCACAATTTCATATCCAGCCAAACTAAGCTTCATAAGTGAAGGAGAAATAAAATACTTTACAGACAAGCAAATGCTGAGAGATTTTGTCACCACCAGGCCTGCCCTAAAAGAGCTCCTGAAGAAAGCACTAAACATGGAAAGGAACAACCGGTACCAGCCACTGCAAAAACATGCCAAATTGTAAAGACCATTGAGGCTAGGAAGAGACTGCATCAACTAACGAGCAAAATAACCAGCTAACCTCATAATGACAGGATCAAATTCACACATAACAATATTAACCTTAAATGTAAATGGGCTAAATGCTCCAATTAAAAGACATAGACTGGCAAATTGGATAAAGAGTCAAGACCCACCAGTGTGCTGTGTTCAGGAGACCCATCTCACGTGCAGAGACACACATAGACTCAAAATAAAGGGATGGAGGAAGATCTACCAAGCAAATGGAAAACAAAAAAAGGCTGGGGTTGCAATCCTAGTCTCTGGTAAAACAGACTTTAAACCAACAAAGATCAAAAGAGACAAAGAAGGCCATTACATAATGGTAAAGGGGTCAATGAAACAAGAAGAGCTAACTATCCTAAATATATATGCACTCAATACAGGAGGACCCAGATTCATAAAGTCCTTAGAGACCTACAAAGAGACTTAGACTCCCACACAATAATAATGGGAGACTTTAACACACCACTGTCAACATTAGAAAAATCAACAAGAGAGAAAGTTAAAAAGGATATCCAGGAATTGAACTCAGTTCTGCACCAAGCAGACCTAATAGACACCTACAGAACTGTCCACTCCAAATCAACAGAATATACATTATTCTCAGCACATCGCACTTATTCCAAAATTGACCACATAAATTGACCACATTGTTGGAAGTAAAGCAATCGTCAGCAAATGTAAAAGAACAGAAATGATAACAAACTTGTCTCTCAGACCACAGTGCAATCAAACTAGAACTCAGGATTAAGATACTCACTCAAAACCGCTCAACTACATGGAAACTGAACAACCTGCTCCTGAATGACTACTGGGTACATAACAAAATGAAGGCAGAAATAAAGATGTTCTTTGAAACCAATGAGAACAAAGACACAACATACCAGAATCTCTGGGACACATTCAAAGCAGTGTGCAGAGAGAAATTTATAGCACTAAATGCCCACAAGAGGAGGCAGGAAAGATCTAAAATTGACACCCTAACATCACAATTAAAAGAACTAGAGAAACAAGAGCAAACACATTCAAGAGCTAGCAGAAGGCAAGACATAACTAAGATCAGAGCAGAACTGAAGGAAATAGAGACACAAAAAAACCTTCAAAAAATCAACGAATCCAGGAACTGGTTTTTTGAAAAGATCAACAAAATTGATAGACCACTAGCAAGACTAATAAAGAAGAAAAGAGACAAGAATCAAGTAGATGCAATAAAAAATGATAAAAAGGATATCACCACCGATCCCACAGAAATACAAACTACCATTAGAGAATACTATAAACACCTCTACACAAATAAACTAGAAAATCTACAGGAAATGGATAAATTCCTGGACATATACACCCTCCGAAGAATAAACCAGGAAGAAGTTGTATCCCTGAATAGAGCAATAACAGGCTCTGAAATTGAGGCAATAATTAATAGCCTAACAACCAAAAAAAGTCCAGGACCAGATGGATTCACAGCCGAATTCTACCAGAGGTACAAGGAGGAGCTGGTACCATTCCTTCTGAAACTATTCCAATCAATAGAAAAAGAGGGAATCCTCCCTAACTCGTTTTATGAGGGCAGTATCATCCTGATACCAAAGCCTGGCAGACACACAACAAAAAAAGGGAATTTTAGACCAATATCCCTGATGAACATCGATGCAAAAATCCTCAATAAAATACTGGCAAACCAAATCCAGCAGCACATCAAAAACTTATCCACCATGATCAAGTGGGCTTTATCCCTGGGATGCAAGGCTGGTTCAACATATGCAGATCAATAAACACAATCCAGCATATAAACAGAACCAAAGAAAAAAACCACATGATTATCTCAATAGATGCAGAAAAGGCCTTTGACAAAATTCAACAGCCCTTCATACTAAAAATTATCAATAAATTAGATATTGATGGGACGTATCTCAAAATAATAAGAGCTATTTATGACAAACCCACAGCCAATATCATACTGAATGGGCAAAAACTGGAAGCATTACCTTTTAAAACTGGCACAAGACAGGGATGCCTTCTCTCACCACTCCAATTCAACATAATGTTGGAAGTTCTGGCCAGGGCAATCAGGAAGGAGAAAGAAAAAAAGGGTATTCAATTTGGAAAAGAAGAAGTCAAACTGTCCCTGTTTTCAGATGACATGATTTTATATTTAGAAAACCCCATCGTCTCAGCCCAAAATCTCTTTAAGCTGATAGGCAACTTCAGCAAAGTCTCAGGATACAAAATCAATGTGCAAAAATCAGAAGCATTCTTATACACCAATAACAGACAAACAGAAAGCCAAATCATGAGTGAACTCCCATTCACAATTCCTTCAAAGAGAATAAAATACCTAAGAATCCAACTTACAAGGGATGTGAAGGACCTCTTCAAGGAGAACTACAAAGCACTGCTCAACGAAATAAAAGAGGACACAGACAATTGGAAGAACATTCCATGCTCATGGATAGGAAGAACCAATATCGTGAAAGTGGCCATACTGTCCAAGGTAATTTATAGATTCAATGCCATCCCCATCAAGCTACCAATGACTTTCTTCATAGAATTGGAAAAACCTACTTTAAAGTTCATATGGAACCAAAAAAGGCCCCACATTGCCAAGTCAATCCTAAGCCAAAAGAACAAAGCTGGAGGCATCATGCTACCTGACTTCAAACTATACTACAAGGCTACAGTAACCAAAACAATATGGTACTGTTACCAAAACAGAATTATAGACCAATGGAACAGAACCGAACCCTCAGAAATAATACCACACATCTACAACCATCTAATGTTTGACAAACCTGACAAAAACAAGAAATGGGGAAAGGATTCCCTATTTAATAAATAGTGCTAGGAAAACTGGCTAGCCATATGTAGAAAGCTGAAACTGGATCCCTTCCTTACACCTTATACAAAAATTAATTTAAGATGGATTAAAGACTTAAATGTTAGACCTAAAACCATAAAAACCCTAGAAGAAAACCTAGGCAATACCATTCAGGACATAGGCATGGGTAAAGACTTCATGTCTAAAACACCAAAAGTAATGGCAACAAAAGCCAAAATTGACAAATGGGATCTAAGTAAACTAAAGAGCTTCTGCACAGCAAAAGAAACTACCATCAGAGTGAACAGGCAACCTACAGAATGGGAGAAAATTTTTGCAATCTATTCATCTGACAAAGGGCTAATATCCAGAATCTACAATGAACTCAAACAAATTTACAAGAAAAAAACAAACAACCCCATCAAAACATGGGCAAAGGATATGAACAGACACTTCTCAAAAGAAGACATTTATGCAGCCAACAGACACATTAAAAAATGCTCATCATCACTGGCCATCAGAGAAATGCAAATCAAAACCACATGAGATACAATCTCATACCAGTTAGAATGGTGATCATTAAAAAGTCAGGAAACAACAGGTGCTGGAGAGGATGTGGAGAAATAGGGACACTTTACACTGTTGGTGGGACTGTCAACTAGTTCAACCATTGTGGAAGACAGTGTGGTGATTCCTCAAGGATCTAGAACTAGAAATACCATTTGACCCAGCCATCCCATTACTGGGTATATACCCAAAGGATTATAAATCATGCTGCTATAAAGACATATGCACACGTATGTTTATTGTGGCACTATTCACAATAGCAAAGACTTGGGACCAACCCAAATGTCCATCAATGATAGAGTGGATTAAGAAAAAGTGGCACATATACACAATGGAATACTATGCAGCCATAAAAAAGGATGAGTTCATGTCCTTTGTGGGGACATGGATGAATCTGGAAACCATCATTCTCAGCAAACTATTGCAAGGACAAAAAACCAAACACTGCACGTTCTCACTCATAGGTGGGAATTGAACAATGAGAACACTTGGACACAGGAAGGGGAACGTGACACACCAGGGGGCCTGTTGTGGGGTCAGGGGAGGTGGGAGGGATAGCATTAGGAGATATACCTAATGTAAATGACGAGTTAATGGGTGCAGCACACCAACATGGCACATGTATACATATGTAACAAACCTGCACGTTGTGCACATATACCCTAGAACTTAAAGTATATAAAAGAAATGTGCTTATCTGACTGTTAGATTTGGGTTGTGTCAGTACCTTATGTCAAGCTCAATTCTTCTTCAGACACAGACAATAAATAAAGTTGAAAATATTTTGTGGGAAAAAAGATTAATTTTATATGACTTGATTGAATATTTGGTATTTTTTTTTTTTTTTTTTTTTTTTTTTAGGTGGAGTCTCTGTTGCCCAGGCTGGAGTGCAGTGGTGCAATCTCAGCTCACCACAACCTCTCCCTCTTTGGTTCTAGCGGTCCTCCTGCCTCCACCTCCCAAGTAGCTGAGATTACAAGCATGTGCCACCACGCCTGGCTACTTTTTGTATTTTTAGTAGAGAAGGGGTTTCACCATGTTGGCCAGGCTAGTTTTGAATTTCTGACCTCAAGTTATCTACCGCCTCAGCCTCCCAAAGTGCTGGGAATACCGGTGTAAGCCACCATGCCCAGACCTCCTATTATTTATTAAAATAAAATAAAATAAAATAAACCTGATAGATCTTTGGGAGGTGGTTGTATAGGTAAGTATGTTTGAGTGTTAAGACACTGTAAGATAAATGTTCAAGTGGTAATTGAGAAGGAACTTAAACTGGCAGCACATTTTACTTTCTGGTGATTATTCATTATCTGTGATGCAATAAGTTCGTAATAGTCACTTTACTGGGTATATAAAAGGTGCTTGATACTATTTTGTTTAAATGAAATTACAGCCAGCAAATATCCTTTGTATGTTAATTTTTATTAATTTATACTTAGCTTATATTTCCACATTTGAAAAGTAGATTTTTTTGTTTTTTACTATGTCTATAAATTATAAGGTGAAAATATAAAATGTAGTAAATATAATAAGCTCCGAAAAATAACATTTTTGTTATGGCAGAGATAGTGACAAGGGTTTTTTAAATTCTCTGCTATTTCTTTAACTAGTTATAAAATAGCCTATCCCTGAGATTAATTTGAACCTACTGTGACTTATAAAATAACTGAATGTGCAACCGACTTTTTAAAGGTCACAGGGAATTGAAAGAAGTAGATGAGTAAGATGGTTAAATGCCTTTTTTATTTTTATTTTTTCTTAAGTATGAGTTTTTCTGTAAAGCCTTAGAGAGACTTTTGGCCCAGAAAGTAGTTGAGTAGGGATTAAGTTCTTGCAGGAAAAAAAAAGAAAGTTTGTTCCCTGAAGGTATTAGAAGGATCCCAGCTGTTGGGGTACTACTCCCTGGTTATGATTGGCACTGAAATGTCAAAGCTCAAAATCCCAAGCCACTAAATTATCTGCTTTAATCAGGCAAGGACTGTCTACCGCCCACAGCTCCGCATCAGCCAAAAGCTGCCTATCTTAGTTTCTTACAGTCTTTTGACTGAGGAGACACCTCCCCATGCCCCTTCAATTATGTTTCCCTTTTCTTCCCCAAAGATAATTTTTTTCTATTATACTCCTTTAAAATATCATTTTACTTATAAAACATTTACTTATAAAATTTATAAAACCCTTTTACTTTTTAGCTACATAGAGAAAAGAAAATGATATATGACCATTGAATCATTCATTCAAATAATATAGTTTGACTTTAGGTATCTAGATTTGTCAGAGGAGACATATCTAGATGCATAATAATTTAATAGAGATTAGTAATAATAACAGTTTATATAATATAAATATATTAACTTCATATAGACATATATCCTTACACAAAATAAAAGTGTGTGTGTATACATATAGAGGCATATGTGTGTATATATATATATCTATATATGCATGTATGTGTACATATGTATATATGTGTGCATGTATATGTTTATAGAGAGAAACAGACCCAGAGAGAGAATTCATAACTTTGCAGGAAGCCCTTAAAAGCTATTTACATGGAGTATCTTTCTTGTTAGAGTTGATTCCCCACTAAGCAGACATGTTTTACATTTTTTAAATTTTTGGTCTTTACAGGGAGTCTGTCTTGTCATTAAAAAGAAAAAAAAAGAAGCTGCCTCACCAATTAATTCCAATGGTATCTTAAGACTTCTTATTCAGTTCTATAACAGTAAAAATTCTTCTAAATACTTTGCACATATCATTAGGCTATTGAATGACCTGGAATCAAAAGTTTGCATGAAAATAATTAATCCTACTCTTTCTTACTACTGTTATATAAACCAGGGCACTTTAATGTACACCGCCTGGGGAAGTTGTTGAAATTTATATTCTGATCCAGGAGACCCAGAAAGTACCCAAGATTCTCTAGTCCTAAGAAGTTCTGGGGTGCTGCTGCTATTGCTGTGTCAACCATACTTTAAGGAACAAAGTCATAAAGAAGTGCTTCAAATTATCCTTCCTTGCCCCTATATACAACCCTTGTGGATCTCACTGTTTCTCTGGTAAATTTTAGGTTTTAAAAAGCTTACTCAAGTTCAAAGCAATTTCTTACTTGATTAAGAAGTTTTCCTCCCAAAGCCCAGTTCTGATTCAGTCTCAGAAACTTGAAGTGGAAGGGTTGAGGATGACTTCCATGTCAGCTTCTTCAGTCAGGTTCAGCAGTCACAGACAACAGTGTGGGGAAGCAACAGAAGAATCCCTTCAAGAAAACAGACGGGGAGAAAAGGAAATAGAAAAAAATGCTTACTTGACATAACGTATGATATCAGTGCCCATTTGTGTGTCAGCTGTCTAAATATTAATTCTACTGAAGGCTTTTCAGAAAACCTAATTATTGAGGATTTTCATTTCTAGTTTCTTGATGAGGCAACTTGCATCCCTTGGTTATTTACTAACTGACTTGTTTTTCGAGCCATAGTTTAAGCATTCTATTGTGGCCACTTTGGTCTTACAGGAAGTGTCTTTCAAGATAACCTAGGACTGACACCCATCTGCAAAGTCCACACCATCTATGGGGAAACATCAACCTTTGCCCTACTTGTGCTCATGGTGTGCTATGTCCATGCAGCCTGCCTCCTTTTCTGTCCCTGGATAGGCACCTCAAGCCTCTTTCTCATGGTTAGCCTTTTTAGGCATGAGTGAGTCAAGTATCCGTCCTTGCATCCCACATGTTAAGCTATTTTAGTAGTTTTCTTGAAGCAACCTTATATGTAGAAGTTCTCCGAAGTTCGCAGAAAAAATATCTACATAACTTCCTGAAGAAATCTTTATGCTTTAATCTTATTCTGTTCGATCTTTAAGCCTCTTCTCATATACTTTAAAATGTGAGCTATGGGCAGAAAAATAATTTTCTTAGTTTATTTATATCATATTTTATATAGATGCTTTGGCATTTTGCTTTAAAGTGTGGATATGATTAGTATTCATTGTTTCTGGCTTTATGTTTTGAGCTAAACCTTGCCAGAGATAGTACAGTCCTATTACAGAAACTTATTCCATATGTATTATCTCATTTAGTCTTTACCCTGTGAGATAGGGCTATTATTATTCCTACTTTAGAGATGAGAAAATAAGGCACAGAAATAAAATCTATAAATCCAAGTATGTATTGGTCCCTTTTTCACTGTACACATTCATTTACCTTGTAAGTGTTGTATCCCATCTGGTGGTTGGGTGATGCCACTATTCAATAATGTCAGGGGCTCTGGTTGATGGACAGCATGATACGACTAGTGAATCCAATTGACATCAATCCACAGCCTTCTTTCTTTTTCTGAGCAGTAAAAGTTGTATTGGAAGTCATGGTGTGTGAGTTATTATGGCAGTGTATATAGCATTCAGTTCGTATATGGATAGTGTTAGCAGAGAGGGAGGGAAATAAAATCTGAATGCAGATAAATTATCACTTTCAATGATCATACATCTCCATCTCCTTCATGAAGGAAAAAGATCGGGCTTTTTCAGAAGCAGATCTCAAAACAAGGATTCAAAGCACGTCGTGTATTTGAAAAGGCAGGGCACACAAATGTGGAACTAGGAAAGTGATGCATACAAAACAGGGCAACCACGAGCAACTGGACTTCATCCCACAGGGACACTTGGGGAAATTGCAACAAGAATGTCTCAAAATTATTCCACCAGAAAAGTGAAATAAGTGGGGCATTCATATACGAAATCCTAAGAATTGTTAGCTAAGAATTTCAATGGGGTATTCATTTCTTCAGTACTTCTGGCATGCACATGCAGGCCAAGCAACCCAGTTGGGAGTGGCGGCTGGGGTGGTGGTGGTGGAAACACTCAGTAACAAAGATGTATATACTACCAGTTGGACCTCTGTCAGAGCATACTGGAAAGTTGGAGAAATATGAATGGAACACTGGCAACATCTCTCCAGAAAAGTACATAAGGATGGCTGGGAACTGCCATGTGAATGGTACAGTTGGTCAACTGATTTTGGAAGATTGAATGTAGATCATGTTTTTTTTTTTTTTTCTGTTTTTAGAAAAATAATTATTTATTTTTTAGCAGTTATTGTGTGCCAAATATATAGCTACAGTCATCAAGCAGTTAGAAGACAGGTACAAATTTCAAAGATAATTTTTCTGAAGAGGTGACAAGTAATATCAGGAGCAGCAGGGTAATTTTGGGGACTGCAGGGTCATGAAATCACCCTCTTGCAATGGTAAGTGATGCACTTACACTCTGTCAGGAATCTTCATGCAGGTAAATTATTATATGCATTACTTATATTGTACATACAAGTAGTTTTTGCCAAATCAATTATTTTCCATCAGTCATTGTCACTTTGCAGATCCAAAATAATCAACCTGCTCCTGTCAGAATAATGCTTCCACGTAAATATGCTCAGAGGTTGTGAGTATTCTTGGAAAAATTCAGTAATCATCAGTGCAATAGCTAGAACCTACTTGGTTAGATTATATTGGTTAAACTCTTGGATAGTCTTTATTCCTGGTATCATGGCCATTATGTTTATGAGACCATGGAGGAAAGAAGTTCAGGGTACCTAAGGTAAAAGTCTGACTGATATCTGCAGCACAATTCATCTAAACTCCACACTTCTGCAATAAGCTCCTTTTGAGGTTCATGTGGAATGTGGAATACAATTTTCTCATGCTCTCTGCCCATTCTGAGATATCCAACCTCAACCTTCGTTACCCCAAATGCCTACAGTACTATTTACTAACTGGTTGCCAAACTTGTTGCTTCTTCACAGGCTCTGAACCATCTTGGCAGACTATTGGCAACTATATAACCTTGTGTAGCTCACGGACTCTAATTTAAGAGTTTCATCTTCCCAGTGGGTCAGCAATGGGCCCATCAAACAGTTTGAATACTTATCCTAAATTAGCCTATTGAATCACAGCTCTATATATCAATGAATTCAGGATGCTTTAAAATTATGCCTTACTCAACTTTGTTAAGCATCTTTCATATTCATTTCTACAAATTTGATACATATATTTTAATGGCAAATTCCCTTGATTCTTTTTGTGTATAACACTTTATTTCTTGCTCTAATTATAAATTTTACCATAATCTCTTACTCCACCCAAGCCATGTTGAATTTATATTCCTTTTACTTGTCATTCAGTATCCAACCACTGGACAAGATGAACTTTAGTTTTCTTTTTATATCTAAGGACAGCTTCTTCAGGCATGGATGATACTGAATTTCTAAACGAGATGTACAGTAAGTCATGTTTCATTGGAATTTTGGAGGTTGATCTGTTTCATGTCTTTTAATTAATCTGTAGTATCTTCTTAGCAATTAGTAAGAGTCTAATCTTTTATGATCAATGCCCTAACATTCACATAAAATATATGGTCAAGCTGTAAATCAACTGGTATTGTAATTCTGCAAGCTGCAGAGACAATATCTGAATTTGGTCTTCAGTGATTTCTGTTGCCAGCAATATCTTATTTTTTCAACTAGGTCATGAGAAATCTTTGAAGGTTGTTTCATTCCTTAGGAGAACATTTAGGAATTTGATTTGCCCTTTATTTTGACTCATTTATCAAATACCATTTGAAGTGTCCATCTGACCTATGACATAGTAATTTTAATTTCTTTATAGTAGGGGTAATCTGGTTTCCCAGAATTTCATCCTAACTAATAGACAGTTGCTGTTTGGTTTTCTAGCATTCATTCCCCTCTTTTGTCCTGTCCTAAATGTACCAACAATTTAATTTCCTTTTATGTCCCTGTATTACATAGAGGTTTCCTTCATTGCAGCTCTAGAGAAAGGCCATGACTTTCTTTAGGTAATCAGTACATTTTATCCCCCTAGCAAAAATCATGAGTGGATATGTAACCTAGTTTGTCCATTTAGGCTGAATTTGAAGATTGACTCTAGAACACTTTAAAAATGATATACTCATATACTCATATGAAGGTTAGAACTGCTCCATTCTTGGTTTTTTTTTTTTTTTTTTTTTTTTTTTTTAGCAGTGAGAAAAGCCACAGTAAGAAAAAAGGCTGCATATAGGGTAGGACTAAGAAGAAAAAAAATCAGAAAATTCAGATAAATGGCAGCTGGAGGCCAAGCAAACCACACATATGATTTTTCTGCTACTTTTGGTCTTTACAGTTACAATCCCTCACCCCACTCCAAAATACAAATTATTGGGGTAGTTGGAGTTGGAAGTTTTGTTACTTAGAGAAGAAAGATGTCTTACTGCCACATCCTCAATGAATACATTGCTCTAGGTAATCATGAGGAATAATTCATCTACAGTTTTATCACAGAGTCTCATGGACAGCCAGAAACTTATTCTATAATATGAATGGAGATCTTATTCTTTCATTCCAACTTAGCCTTATGAGGAATTTTAAATAGTATATATTTTCCTAATTTGTTTTTTCTAGTACATTAACTAGTACCAATAGCTGTGGTTTTTATCCACTACTTTTTATGTTGCAAGTATAGGAACCCCAGTTAAAATGGTTTCAGGAAATTGTAATTATATTTTATGAAAGTTCAAAATAGAGCTTTCATTATGCATAATTTTGTTCATATCTTAAACATAAATAGGTCCAGAAGTTCAGCTGATGTCACTAGTTTTTTCTTTCTCTTTTTTTCACCTCCACCATCTTTCCACTTTTCTTTGTCTGATTTTATCTTAACTAGGCTTTCTTCTCGAGTTGGCTACATGGTGACTAGTGTCTTCATGTTTACAGTCAATCACGGAAGCCAGGAAGTTGAATTATCTTGATTAAATGGGCAGAGGACACATGCACTACTGAAATAATAGATTGAGGAAAAGTGACACCAAAACCACATGTACTGAAATTCGGGAAGTAATAGTTTACCTGAAGGAAATCAGAGTGCTGATACCTTAAACAGTGTTATGTTATTCAAATTCTGATCGTTTTGTTGTGTTCCAAATGTTCTGTGTATGCATTTCTTAAATTACAATTAAAATGAAAAAGACTAAATAGCTATGTGGCTTTTTCCTACTTTTTTTTTTGTTTATTTTGAGTCACAGTCTCACTCTGTTGCTCAAGCAGGAGTGAAGTGGCCTGATTATGCCTCACAGCAGCCTTGACCTCCCAGGCTTGGATTTCTCCTACTCTTTGCATCTGTTTCTTAAAAGATGTTTCCCTGGATAATAACTCTGCAAGAAACACTCTACACAGAGGTGAGGCTTACAAATTGACAGACTGTGTTTTAAGATGCAGCCTACTGGCAGTCAACTATCAGTCTGGACCTTCCTCATCCTCACATCCTTTGAAAGGAATTTGAGAAATTGATTAATTTGGGAATTGAGTTGGGGGCTAATCAAGGACAAAGACATGACCGCAAGGTGACAGCATCACACAAAAGACTTACTGGGGTCACCTTTTGACAGTTTTGCATGCAGGGTTAGTCCCTCACAGCATGAGCTTGTCCAGAGGCTATGGTGAAAGGTTGGTCATTCAGAAGGGGAGGAAGCCAAGGAAGATGGAGAGGGTATGAGGAGTCAGAGAGAGGGCTTACAAGTTTAGGTGACGTGACTCAGCAGCATGGTAGGGAGTATCTGGGTCAGTGGCCTGGTGTATTTAAAGCCCTGAGATTAATCTTACTTATGGCTAGTACATCCTGGGCAGTTTTGAGGGTTATGCAAGGCAGGCAGGCTCTAAGTGGCTAAACATATGCTTATTTAAGACTACATTTGAAACAAATGAGTGTGTAAAAACTTGCATTCCTGACAAGACGGCTTTTGAGCTAACTGGCCGCAGCATGTTTTGAAGAAGTAGACAACCTAGGAGGCAATATACAGAGGCCATCTTTGGCTCATTTATATAACACCCACTGAATGCCAGTATAACAGGAGTGTTTTTCTTGTTTGTCAAAATCAAGGTAGAATTCTTTGATCTCATCAGATGTTTTATCAAATTCACCTGGAGGAAAGAATTATTTTGCAGCCCCTGCACTGTATTCTGAGTAGCTGCTCGTTTTCACTGATTTCTTTCTTTCTTGGAACCCCCTCCAATCACTTCTTTTATAAGCGGCTGCTTTTTTGTATTTCTGTGTGTTGTTTTTTAACCTGTGTACTTGGGAAAGTAAAAAGCAAATATAAAAACACAATCTGCTAATCTACTGACTTGAACAGAAACTAAATACTTTCAACAAATATTTATTGAATGTTACCATGTGTACAGCAGTAATCAAAACACATAAAAACCCCTATTTCATCAGGTTTTCATTCTAGAATTCCGAAGTGGTTAGCCTGGATTTCAATAAGGGGATCACAATATCTCTAAATCTCAGACAATTACACGTACTGAATGAATGGAGACATTTTTAAAAATAAGCCCTCTGGCATATCTGAACTCAATAAGGAACTCCTCAATAAGATTACAATATGTTTTGTGAATCCTTTCAATTTTTTATTAGAATCATTTGTGGGTTTTGTAGTCAGAAATTAATTCTTTATGTTAGTAACCCATTCTTGAACCATATTCCCATTAAGATTCTTTTTTTATTTAGGTTAGTTTTTGATTTATTAAACCTATAGTACATTTAAAAGTGCTCCTTTGTTTAAGTATAATAAATTCTAGGATAACATTCACTTTTTCCCAAGGTTTCTGTTATATCAAAATCACAGTTAACTATTTCATTGTTTGTTAATGTTAAATGAAGAATAGAATTTCATTTTATTGTGTTCTTGAGTAGTCAGCAAAGCTAGCACTTATCAGAAATTACGCTTTTTGTATAAATAAAGTTGTATGACTTATGGGTAATTTTAAACCTTGTTATTACACTGTATTTCCCATGTAAACAGATTTATAACTCAAATGAAGTAGCTTCTCTCTGTAACTTCTTTGTGATTGGCCATCCGTATGTTGTCACACAGGTGATGCTTTTATTTCTATCTAACAAAAATCTGGCTCAATTAGCCTTGATCAGTGAAAACTAATTCATTATTTCACATAATTAGAAAGTAAACAGATAACATGGACGGACTGCATGCATAGTAGAATCAGAAACCTGTGGTCATTTTTCTATCATTCTCTAAGCTACACTCTCTCTTTGCTTGTCAGCTTACCTACAGGGTAGCTTCCTTCTTGGTCTCAGAATAGCAGTATCTAAGGCAACAGGTTTCTTCATTTATATATTATATGTATGTCTCCTTCAAATACAGAATAAAAGCTATTTGTTCAGTATTACCAGGTTAACTTACATTGTATACCCAGCCTTTAACCAATAATCATTTCCTGGGGAACTATTGGCCTCTGGCTGTGTTATAGAAGTATTTACTTGTAAAGTATTACCATAATTGATTTAGAAAAGTAGATGAGGTTGGTACAAGAAATACTGTCTTAGTTCTGTATTGCTGTGTAACAAATGAGCACAGAGTTAGTGGCTTAAACCAATAGCCATTTAGTATATCATAGTTTCTGCAGTTCAGAAGTCTGGGAAGGGATAACTGAATTCTCTGTTCACGTTCTTCAAGAGCTGATGTCAAGCAGATTGTGTTCTTATCTGGAACATGGAATTCTCTTTGACTCTATTAAGCTCATTTAGTTTATTAACAGAATTCCCTTCCTTGTGGTTGCGAGCAGAAGATCCCGTTCTCCTGCTATCATCAGCTAGAAAATGTTCTAAGCTGCTGGAGGCTACCCACGTTCCTTCCCATGTGGCTTCCTCCATTCAAAAACTGCAGTGGAGAATCTTCTTCACGTTGAATTCCTCTCAGATGTTGACTCTGTTTCTTGTAGAACATCACAGTACCTTTTAAGGGCTCATCAGATTAGGTCAGACCACATAGAATAAGCTCCCTTTCTTAAGGGCACGTATGCCATTTAATGTAATGCAATCACAAAAGTTATTTCCCATTATATTCATAAGTCCTGTTCAGACCCAGGGGGAAGAAATTATGTAATACATATATACATCAGAGGTTGAAGGTTCTGGAGGCCATCTTCGAATTCTGCTTACCATAAGTATGTACTAGACAATAAATATTGTAATACTTAGTGGGTTTATGGATGTACATGGCTGAAAGAGGTGAAATAACATTGATATGGTTTGGATGTTTTGTCCCCTCCAACTCTGTTGGATGATTTGTTGCCTCTAAATCACTTGTTGAAATGTGACCTCCAATGTTAGAGGTGGGCATAGTGGGCTTAGTGGGAGGTGGTTGGGTCATGGGGGCAGATCCCTCATGAATGGCTTGATGCTGTTCCTACAAGAATGAGTGAGTTCTTCCTCTGTGAGTTCACCTGAGATCTAGTTGTTTAAAAGAGGCCAGAACCTCCTTCTTTCTTGCTTCCTTTCTTGCCATGTAACATGCTGGCTATTCTTCACCTTCCACCATGATTGTAAGCTTCCTGAGGCTTTTACCAGAAGTAGATACTGGCACTATGCTTCATATAAGCCTGGAGAACTGTGGGCCAAATAAATATCTTTTCTTCATAAACCAGCTAGTCAAGGATATTCCTTTACAGCAATGCAAACAGACTAATATACGCATGTAGAATGATTCTTTGATTTCTAAAATGTATCTGGCTTTATTCTTATTTCCAAAAATGAAATTAGGTGAAATTTTGAAGAAGTAGACGTTATAGGCAAAATTGTGAGTTTAATTTGAACTTTTATGCTTGAGATATTTTCAAGGATTTTAAACACCTCACGGCTAATATAGGAAAATATTAGGGATAATCAGCTGTCTGCATGTACTTTGAGGGCCTAGCTAACTTGTACACTCTTTGTCTCATTACAAATAATGTTGGGAAGCCCTGATAAAAGCCTTGAAATACAGCAAATTTAAAACTCTATATTTTGTGAGAATTGACAAGTTCTTGACAATACTTACTTTATGTGGAAATCCCAGTGAGTGATTTATTCCCCATCTCTTATAGACATACCTATTGCCATTGGCTGTGATATGCATTGATTTCAGTGGAACTCCTGAGATCTTGGACTAGAAGCTCCTATTAATAGAAGTTTTGTTTATTATTTTTCACTCCATCTACATCAATCTTCCAGTTTCCAATCTGCTTTTAGATACAAAGCCCTATATTATTCTTTTTGGAATAATTGAACTTTACTTCTAGTATTTTCAAATCCCCAATCTTCTGAGATTTTACCTGCTGAGTCACTTTTGAAATTTGGTCTTTGTCTTGTTTCCCAGGATATTCACAACACAAAGAAATGATAAATGTTTGTGATGACAGATATGCTTATTACCCAGATCAGATAACCATACATGATATATATCAAAACATCACTATGTATCATATAAATATGTATAATTATTATTTGTTTTCTTAGTCCGTTCTCACGCTACTAATAAGGAAATCCCTGAGATGAGGTAATTTATAAAGAAAAAGAGGTTTAATGGACTCACATTTCCATATGGCTGGGGAGGCCTCACAATCATGGCAGAAGATGAAGGAAGAGCAAAGGGACATCTTACATGGTGGCAGGCAAGAGGGCTTATGTAGGGGAACTCCCCCTTATAAAAACTATCAGATCTCGTGACTTATTCACTATCATAAGAGCAGCAAGGGAAGAAACCCATGCCCATGATTCAATTACCTCCCATTGGGTCCCTCCCATGATGTGGGGTTATTACAATTCAAGGTGAGATTTGGGTGGGTACACAGCGCCAAACCATATGTCAATGAAAAATTTTAATTTAAAAATTTAAAAAAAAATTGTGGGTATATTTGATGGGGTACATGAGGTATATGATGCAGGCAAACAATGGATAATAATTACATCAGAATAAATGGTGTATCCAATTTACACCTCAAGCATTTATCCTTTGTGTTACAAAAACCCAAGTATACTCTTTTGGTTACTTTTAAATGTATAATAAATTATTCTTGACTGTAGTCACCCTGTTGTGCTATCAAATACTAAATCTTATTCATTCTATCTAACTATATTTTTGTACCATCCCCACTTCCATCCGTACCCCACTACTCTCCCGAGTCTCTGGTAACCATCATTCTTTCTCTATCTGCATGAGATTGTTTTAATTTTTAGCTCCCACAAAGTTGAAAACATGTGAAGTTTGTTTTTCTGTGCCTGGTGTATTTCACTTAACATAATGACCCCAATTCCATCCATGTTGTTACAAATGACAGCATCTAATTTTTTAAATGGCTGAATAGGTCTCCATTGTTTATAAGTACCACATTTTCTTTATCCATATATCTGTTGGTAGATACTTAGTTTGCTTCCAAATCTTAGCTGTTGTGAATTGTGCTGCAATAAACATGGGAGTGCAGTTAGCTCTTTAATATACTAATTTTCTTTCTTTTGGGTATACACCCAGCGGTGGGATTGCTGGATCACATGGTAGTTCTATTTTTAGTTTTTGAAGGAACTTCCAAACTGTTCTCTATAGCAGTTGTACCAATTTACTTTCTCACCAACAGTGTATGAGGGTTCCATTTTCTCTACATCCTCTCCAGCATTTGTTATTGCCTGTCTTTTGGATAAAAACCATTTTAAATGCAAATTTAAATTTGCATTTCTCTAGTGATCAGTGATGTTGAGAACCTTTTCATATACTCGTTTGCCATTTTTACATCTTCTTTTGAGAAATGTCTATTCAAATATTTTGCCCATTTTTAATTGGATTATTAGATTTTTTATATAGAGTTGTTTGAACACCTTGTATATTCTGGTTATTAATCCCTTGTCAGATGGATAGTTTCCAAAATTTTTCTGCCATTCTGTGGGTGGCCTGTTCACTTTGTTGATTATTTATTTTGTGATGAAGAAGCTTTTTAACTTGATATGATCTTGTTTGTCCATTTTTGCTTTGGTTACCTATGCCTGTGGGGTCTTATTCAAGAAATCTTTGCCCAGTCCAATGTCCTGGAGACTTTCCCAAATGTTTTCTTATAGTAGTTTCACAGTTTGAGGTCTTAGATTTAAGTATGTAATCCATTTTGATTTGATTATTGTATATGGTGAGAGATAGAGGTCTATTTTCATTCTTCTGCATATCTATTTTTACCAACACCACTTATTGAGGAGACTGTCCTTTCCCTGATGTATGTTCTTGGCACCATTGTCAAAAATGAGCTCACTGTAGGTGTATGGACCTGCTCCATTGGTCTACTTGTCGGTTTTTATGCCAGTACCACACTGGTTTGGTTACTATAGCTCTATAGCATAATTTAAAGTCAGGTAATGTGATTCCTCTAGTTTTGCTCTTTTTGTTCAGGGTAGCTTTGGCTATTCTGAGTCTTTTGTGGTTCTATATAAATTTTAGGATGGTTTTTGTATTTCTTTGAAAAATGTCATTGATATTTTTGATAGGAATTACATTGAATCTGTAGATTAATTTGAGTAGTATGGACATTTTAATAATATTGATTCTTCCCATCCATGAACACAGACAATCTTTCCATTTTTTGGGATCTTCTTCAATATTTTGCATCAATGCTTTATAGTTTTAATTGTAGAAATCTTTCACTTCTTGGGTTAAGTTTATCCCTAGGTGTTTCATTTTATTTGAAGCTATTGTAAATGGGATTACTTTTTTGATTTCTTTCTCAGATTGTTTGCTGTTGGCATAGAGACATGCTACTGATTTTTATATGTTGATATTGTATCCTGCAACTTTGCTTAATTTATCAGTTCTAACAGTTTTCTTGCGAAGTCTTTATTTTTTTCAAATATAAGATTATATCATCTGCAGACAAAAATTATTTGACTTCTTCCTTTCCAATTTGAATATATTTTATTTCTTTCTCTTGTATAATTGCTCTAGTTAGGACTCCCAGTACTATGTCAAATAACAGTGGTGAAAGTGTGCATTCTTATCTGTGTTCCAGATCTTAGAGGAAAGGAGGCTTTTGTTTTTTTCCCATGCAATATGATGCTATTTGTGGGTCTGTCATATATAAACACATTTTATTGTGTCTAGGGATGTTCCTTTTATACTCAGTTTTTTGATGTTTTTTATTATGAAGAGATATTGAATTCAATCACATGCTTTTCCAATATCAATTGAATTATCATACGGTTTTTGTTCTTCATTTTGTTGATATGATGTATTACATTGATTTGTATATGTTGAACCATCCTTACATCACTGGCATAAATCCCACCTGGTCAGGAAGAATAATCTTTATAATGTGATGCTGAATTTGTTTTGCTAGAATTTTGCTGAGAAATTTTGTATCAATGCTTATCAAGGATATTGGCCTATAGGTTCCTCTTTTTTTTTTTTTTAATGGGTCTTTGTCTGGTTTTGGTATCAGGGCAAATACCAGCCTTGTAGAATGAGTTTGGAAATATTGTTTCCTCCTCTATTTTTCAGGATAGTTTGAGTAGGATTGGTATTAGTTCTTTAAATGTTTGGTAAAATTTAGCAGTGAAAAGCAGAGAGGCTTTTCTTTGTGGGGAGACTTTATTTACGGCTTTGACCTTGTTACTTTTCATTGCTCTGTTTAGGTTGTGGATTTCTTCATGGTGCAATTTTGGTAGGTTGCATATGTCTAAGATTTTTCTCCACTTATTGGCATATAGTTGCTAATAGTAGCCACTAAAGATTGTTTGAATTTCTGCAGTGTTGGTCATGATGTCTCCTTTTTATCTTTAATTCTGTTTATTTGGTTCTTCTCTCTTGTTTTCTTAATCTGGCTAAAGGTTTGTCAATTTTGCTTATGTTTTCAGAAGAATGAACTTTTCTTTTTTTTTTAAGACAGTGTTTCTTTCTGTCACCCAGGCTGTGTGCAGTGATGTGACTACAGCTTGCTTCAGCCTTGACCTCCTGGGCTCAAGTGATTATTTTACCTCAGTCTTCCAAATAGCTGGGACTATAGGTGCATCCCACAATGTATGGCTATTTTTTTTTAAATTTTGGTAGAGACAGAGGCTATCTTTGTTGCCCAGTTTGGCTTTGAACTCTGGAGCTGAAGCAATCCTCCCATCTTAGCTTGCAAATTGTTGAGATTACTTGTGTGAGCCACCTTCCTGGTCCCCAACTTTTTATTTGATTTTGTATTTTGTGTTTTTATATTTGTTTCAATTTCATTTATTTCTGCTTTGATCTTTATTATTTCTTTTCTTCTACAAATTTTGGGTATGATTTTCTCTTGCTTTTCTAGATTCTTAAAATGAATTATTAGGTTATTTATTTGAAGTTTTTCTACTTTTTTCTATAGGTGTTTATAGCTATAAACTTTCCTCTTACTACTGCTTTCACTGTATCCCATAGGTTTTAATATATTGTATTTACATTATCATTTGCTTTGGGAAATTTTTAAATTTCCTTCTCAATTTCTTCATTGACCCACTGTTTATTCAGGAGCATATTATTAAATTTCTATGTGTTTCTAATGCTTCCAAAATCCCTCTTGTTATTGATTTATAGTTTTATTCCATTGCGTTAAGAGAAGATAGATAGAATTTCATTTGTTTTGAATTTTTTAAGACTCGTTTTGTCTTAAAAAATGGTCTGTCCTTAAGAATGATCCACGTGCTGAAGAGAAGAATGTGTATTTTGCAGCCATTGGATGAAATGTTCTATAAATACTGGTTAGATCCATTTGGTCTACAACGCAGAGTAAGTATGATGTTTCTTTATTTTCTCTCTGGATGATCTCTCCTATCGGGGGAACCTGCCCCTGATATTTCAACATAGATTCTTTTCTATTTTCCCTAAGTGTCGGCTGGTCTAAGAAATAAAGGGAAAAAGTATAAAAGAGAGAAATTTTAAAGCTGGGTGTCCAGGGGAGACATCACATGTCAGCAGGTTCTGTGATGCCTCCTGAGCCTCAAAGCCAGCAAGTTTTTATTAGCAATTTTCAAAAGGGAGGGAGTATATGAATAGCGTGTGGGTCAGAGAGATCACATACTTTAAGGGCAACAAAATATCACAAGGCAAATGGTCAGGGCAAGTTCACAAGGCCAGGGAGAAACTAGAATTAATAATGAGGTTCCCTGTCCTGCTGTGCACGCATTGTCATTGATGAACATCAGGAAACAGGGTTTGAGAGCAGACAACTGGTCTGACTAAAATTTACTAGGCAGGAATTTCCTAATCCTAATAAGCCTGGGGGTGCTGCAGGAGGCCAGGGCGTGTTTCATCCCTTATCTGCAACTGCATAAGGCAAACACCCCCAGATCGGCCATTTTAGAGGCCCCCCCGGGAATGCATTCTTTTCCCAGCGCTCTTAATTATTAATATTCTTTACTGGGGAAAGAATTCAGCGATATTTCTCTTACCCATCTTCGGTAATAAGAGAAATATGGCTCTGTGCTGCCTGGCTCCCAGGCAATCAGACCTAATGGTTATCTCCCTTGTCCCCTGAACATCTCTGTTATCTTGTTCTTTTTTCAAGGTGCCCAGATTTCATATTGTTCAAACACAGGTGCTTTCCGAACAACTTGTGCAGTTAACACAATCATCACAGGGTCCTGAGGCGGCATACATCCTCAGTTTATGAAGATGATGGGATTAAGAGATTAAAGTAAAGACAGGCATAGGAAATTATAAGGGTATTGATTGGGGAAGTGATAAATGTCCATGAAATCTTCACAATTTATGTTCAGAGATTGCAGTAAAGACAGGTGTAAGAAATTATAAAAGTATTAATTTGGGGAACAAACAAATGTCCATGAAATCTTCACAATTTATTTTCTTCTGTCACGGCTTCAGCAGGTCCCTCCGTTTGGGTTCCCTGATTTCCTGCAACACTCTCCAATGCTTGAAGTGGCTGTTGAGTTCTCCAGCTATTATTTTATTGGGGTCTATCTCTTTCTTTAACTCTAATAATATTTGCTTTATATATTTGAGTGCTCCAATGTTGGGTACACACATATTCACAATTGTTATATCCTATTGCTGAATGAATTGATTTCTTTATCATTATATAATGACACTCTCTCTTTTTATAGATTTTTTCCCCTGAAATATATTTTACTGATATAATTGTAGCTATTCTTCCTCTTTTCTTTTGGTTTTTATTTGCATGGAATATCTTTTTACATCCCTTTATTTTCAGTCTCTGGGTATCTTTATAGGTGAAGTATTTTCTTGTAGGCAAAAGAGCAATGGGTCTTGTTTTTTATTTTTATCCATTCAGCTACTCTATGTCCTTTCTGTTTGTTTGTTTGTTTGTTTTGTTTTTGCAGACAGAGTCTCACTCTGTCATCCAGGCTGGAGTCCAGTGGTATGATCTTGGCTCACTGCAAACCTTTGCCTCCCTGGTCCAAGTGATTCTCCTGCTTCAGCCTCCAAAAGTAGCTAGGACTACAGGTGAGCATCACCATGCCCAGCTAATTTTTGTACTTTTAGTAGATAAATGGTTTCACCATATTGACAAGGCTGGTCATGAACTCCTGACCTCAGGTGATGCACCTGCCTCGGCCTCCCAAAATGCTGGGATTACAGGTGTGAGCCACTGCACCCAGCCCACTCTATGTCTTTTGATTGGACAGTTTTGTCTATTTTCATTCAATGTTATTATTAATAAGTAAAGACTTAGGCCTGCCATTTTGTTATCTGCTTTCTGGTTGTTTTGTGGTCTTTTTGTCCTTCTTTCCTTCCTTCCTGTCTTCCTTTTAGTAAGGTGATTTCTCTGGTTGTATTTTTAACTTCTTGCTTTTTATTTTTTGTGTTGTTGTATGATTTTCTATTGGTACTATGAGGCTTCCAAGTACTATCTTACAATTCTTTATTTTAAACTGATGACAACCTAACATTGATTGCATAAAAAAAGAAACAACAAGCAAAGAGAAAACTAATAAAAAAAATTTAAAATACCTGATCCTCAAAGAAAACAGATGTTAACTTCTCCTGAGACCTTAAAAAAATCGCGTTTTTCTTTTGTATTTAGATATTAAAGATGATACACTTATTTATAGGTATCTTTTGGCTATATCATTCATTCTGACATGTACAGAAGATATTAGTAGTTGGGGAAGTTTATATGTACAGTCTTAGTATTTATTAGATATTATTGGTAGTGTAAACACAAAGAAATATTTCAATTTAATGTACTCTAAAATTTTAGCTCTCTGGAAGATTCATGGAATTTGGTGATTAGAAAGGTGTCAGTGATTTTGAGAATAGAGTTTGAATAATGTACTGAATGCAGAAGCGAGAGAGCCAAAGGTTAAGGATAGACATTATTTCTAGAGTGATCTTTGACAAAGTAACTGGTTAATCTCTGATAATTTTGAACATCCATATTTATTGGAATGGGAAAACATAAGGTCTTTATTATGTGTCAAAAGCCACAAATAAATATAGGGTTAGTTGCTGTTATCCATTTATTTGTAGGCCTTTGATATTCCAGTGGTGTTGCTCATTCATCCAACTCAAAATAAGGCAGTGAAGCATATTTTCTTTCACTGGAAATATTTTTTAAAATGAAAACTTACTTATTTTCTTCTTCTTAGGCTGAAGATTTACAAAACACTGAGTAGAAAGTGAACTGATTTACAAAACACTGATTGTTATTATTTATATGATTTAATTTACATTTGTACCCTTGTGTGAATAAAATACTTGGTATATGAAAATGAATTAATTTTCGGGCTCACCTCCTCATACAGTTTTGCACATTGTGGAGTCAAAAAAAAATGACTGGTTTCATTAAGGTTATTTTAGTAAAGTAGATTTGATGTAAGCATAGTCATCAATTCTTTATAAAGAACTTTCACACTTGATTTTATCTTCATTTTTCCTAATTTGTGTTTATTTGCCAACTAGGCGGTTCACACAGAAAGTAAGAGATACCAGACAAACTTATTTGACTTTTTAAATGTTGATGTTTTCCATTTAGAAAAATATATTGAGATCTTACTGAAATATCAGTTCTCTGGCTCTACCATTTTAATTTTTGAATCACTTTGGGGTTGTAGAAAGCCATAAGAGAAATAGGATGTTGAAGCATTTTCTCTAAACTGCAAAAGACAGAATGGACAGCATTTTTTTAGATTATTTATATAAGATTATAACTACTAATTATAATATATTATTTATATTATAGTTAAGTCTAGTTATAATATTGATGTATATATATTACTCAATGTTATTGTGCTTTTATTGTTATAGGTAGTAGATTTTTTACAAGTAGTAAGGGGAGAGTTTTATAATCACATAATAAATGCCATCATCAATGTGTTTCAGAATTATAATGTCTTGATTGGGTTCTCTGGAAGCAGAGCCTGAGAAAAGAAATTTCTGTTTATGTGGTTTCAAAAGGAAAATGTGGGGAGCAAGATAAGATAGGGGGAAAAGCTAGGGTATGGTCTCAGAGATCAGTTTCTGGGTGACCTCACAGGACTATCTGGAGCATAAATTTCATCATAGATTTAGTCTCATCTTAAAGCGAGGAGGCCTGTCTTATTAACCCTATTGTCAGTCATCAAAAGGCTGAGATGTAGCAAAAGAAAAGTACATTGCTAGCCAGAAAAGGGAAGTCTCTTTTCATATTATGGGCTGCTTCTCTCTTCATACAAAGAGAATGACAAGATGTTCTGCCAATGCTTAGTGGGAGAATAATTTTAATTTCTTCTCACTACTACCTTTCTGGGTTATCTCTGAATATGGTTGTTAGGCAATCAGGTCTTCCATTTTTATATTGTGTTTACATACAAAGCAGATATGTGTCTTAACTAAACACAGATTTTTTTTCCTCTGGTAGCTAATCCTAGTGAATCCTCCATGAGGCCATTGTTCTGAATGGAAGAAGAGAGATATATGCAATAGGAAAAGGTGACGTGGAATCTATGAGAGTCCCATGTTTATGTAGCATATTGTGCCTACTGTATCTATTCAGGTGAATCTCAAATTTTCTACTTCTATTTTAGAACAGATTGCTGCTGAATCTTGGTGCATATAATGGTATTTAGCTGATTCAGAACAGTTCTTGTTCCATGACCGTACGGTATTACATTATAAAATGCTCCATACATATCTGATCTCAGTAACATGCTGGTTGTTTGAATAACCTATAGTCTCTGATAAGAACAGTTTCACCATGCTATAGAACTTTAGAGTTCTGCACTGTAACTTTTACTGGGGTTTGGCAGAAGCAAACTGTGTTTCTCTAACACAGTTATCTCTAATATCTTGGGATTCTGCAAGTGATATGGGCCAATCAGGCTTGCTTCTACTGCAGTCTGAACCTACTTTAGAGTTCTTTCTTGTTCTGGATGTTACTCAAAACTAGGAGTCATACACATCATCCAACAAATTTATCTGAATGGTAGTTGCAAGTAGAGGATATGACGCCTCCAAAACCCAGGGGACTTTCTTAGTGATAGGTGTTGCAAGGTGCAATAAAATGTCTTCTAATTTTCTGGTATATTCCGGAACACTAGACCACCCCTAAAAACTCTATTAATGTGGTAGGGTCAGAAACTCTATAGTTTTATTTCCCATTCAATGGGGTGCATGTGTTTTACCAAGGAATCCAGAAAACTTTCTGCTTTTATTCATCAAAATTGACTTATAAGATACCATCAACAAAGGGGAAAATGTGATTTATTTTTTAGAATATCCCAATGGTCCAAGTCTCTTCTGACTATACTACAGCAAAGAAAGGGAGAATTATTATATCCATGGGACCAGACAGTGAATGTGTATTGTAGTTCATCCCGTATGAACACAAACTACTTTTGATCCTGATGGGTATAGAAAAGAATGCATTCACCAGATTAATAGTCACATATTCCTTTAACATATTTGAGTTTGGGTTGTTTCACTCTTTCAAAAATACTACATCTTGTGTAATAGCTCCAATTGGCATCGCTACTTGGTTAAAGTTTGCAGTAGACCACTGTCATTTATTAGGATTAATACAATTTTGTAGGAGTCAGACAGGTTAATAGAATGGGGAATATGATGGAGAACACCATCTCTGCTTCTTATAATTCTTTGAGAATTGCATCTCTACCATATCCTCCAAAATGCAATACTAGTTTTGACATACACAGTTGGCCCTCCATATCCCTGGCTTCTGCATTCATGGATTCAATCAACCTCAACTTGAAAATTTTTTAAAAGAAAAAACAATAAAAATATCAATACAATAATAAAAAATAAAAATAAGTGGCTATAACTCTTTACATAGTATTTACATTGTATTATGTATTATAACTAATTTAGAGATGATCTAAAATATACACAAGGATGTGCATAGGTGATATGAAAATATTATGCCATTTTATATAAAGGATTCAATTATTCACGACTTCTGGTATCCATCAGGGGTTCTAGAAACTACCCCCAGTGGATATTGAGGGAGTATTTTATGTTCTTCATTGGTGGTAATGGTAATGAGTTTTTACTTGATACCACTTAGCCTTTTTTACCATTATATTTTATATTTAACAAGCCAAGGGACTAATGTGAGGGTTCTGCTCACTGGTAAGTATGTCCATACCAAATATAAATTAGGAAATAGAAATAAAAATTTGAAGGCAAATATAAATGACTACTAGTTGAGGCCATGGAGCCAGTATACCCAAAATAAGAAAAACCTAGGCTAGGATTCCATGTTACCCATATTAGATTCCTGTTGCTGCTGTAGCAAGTGACAACACAATTAGAGGCCTAAAGCAATGCAAATTTGTTATCTTACAGTTTTGGAGGTCAGAAGTACGTAATATGTTTCACTGGGATAAAATTAAACTGACATGAGGTCTGCTTCTTTCTGGAGGTTCTAGGAAAGAAATCTGTTTCCTTGTCTTTTACAGATTCTAGTGGCCAGTGTGGCTTGTGGTTCCTCCCTCTATCTTCAGAGTGAATCACTGCAGATGTTGCTTCCATCATCACATTGTTTTCTCCTCTGATTGACTTCTCCTGAGCTCACATTTCAACCCTTTTTATAGTAATTATGCCAAATTAGCATCTCATAATTAAATGCCTGGGATACATCCTGTAATCCCCATCTCATGTCTCAGAATTCCACTTCATTTCTATCAGAGTTCTTATTTTGGCATAGAAGATTTGATCGCCATATGAATTCTGCATTCTCTAAAGTTTTGGCACACTTAGAATTAAGTTTTGTGATTGATATTTAGGTGCATCTGGCCTTCAAAGGCAGGAGATAAGACTCTCTTTAAGTATTGCAAAGAAGACAATAACTCATACATGTTGCTTTAAATAGTTGAACAGATTTAAACTACATTTTCTCTTTTAAAGACATCAACGGTATTCAGCAACAGTCAATGCCATAGTCATTACAGTTGTTATATCCCCTAGATCTGTGAAATACCCAAGATATTGCATTAACTAGTGCTTTTCTTTTCACCTGTATCTCTTCCCAGTTTATCACGTTTGAAAGTTTTAGCAATATCAGCAGTATAACATGCCAGATGCTATCAATATATCTATCTACCACAGTAATGGGGGGGCGGTGGTCCTCTTTACCACCCAGGTGGTGAATAATCTGACTAAAGACCTACATTCTTAAAAGGCTGCTTCCTATGATGACTTCTATTACCACCTATTTTACATCAGTTTATCCAAAAGCAGAGCCCAGGATGTGAGATCATCTCCAAATGATAAATTGGGGGAGTGCTCTCGATCAACAGAAATATAGGAAGTATGATAGGGTATAGTAGAAACGCTAACTTAAATTCGTGTCCCCACTGAAGAACCAGCTGCAGTCTGATCTCAGAGAAAAGCTCTGGAGCACAAAACGTACCACAGAGGTAGTCCATCCTGAGGTAAAGAAATGTGTCTTATAACCTCTTAACAGGCAGCCACTGGTCAAGGTGGTTAGGAGATGGGTTAGAAAGCCATAGCTTCCAGGGGAAATGACTCCAGTTTGGCTACAACACTTTTCTACAGAAGGCAGCAGTTGCAAGCCATTGTTGACCAAGACTCCCAGTTTCTGGGAAAATGGGTGCACTGACTGGAAAAGGGGAATGGGATGTAGCAAGAACGGCATTCTTGACATAAAATTCTACAAGTATAAATTAATTTTACTTCAAATCTCCCAGATGTGTATAACTACACCAATTGAGGCACTTCAGGTGAGCAAAAGACATACTACGTAATCTTGTTTGGTTTCTGTTGTTCAGACAGAATATCAACACTATAAATTACTCAGGTGATTTTAAATCCCCACTTTGGGCAGTGAAATCCTATACACTAGCTTTGTTCCTATTACTCTGTGTGAAATGACGATGTGGCTATTATCCTCTTATTCGGATCATCCAGGGCAGATAACTTGAACCCTAAATTGACTTTTCTTTTCCTACTTGAATCAATCAATTTACCTGTTTAAATTTATAAAAGCTAGCTTACAGCTTCAGTAGATTGGTCTGTACCTGAGTGGGATAGGTTTTTCTGCACAACACCAAACAGTTTGGATGAAAAGCGAAAAATCAGGTGGCTCAGATAAATAATGTGGCAGCCCACTGTCCATTCAAGACCAAACAAGTGATTTTAGCCACGTTCCCAAGTTGTGATGAATAATGAAATCGTGTTTTCATTTAATCTTGGTGGTTTCGGCTCACTTAAAGGTAGTTGATCTGATTTGACAGTACTTCACTCATCTAGGGAAAATGTGATTACCTTTTGGCTTCCAGGGAGTAGTGGGATGTCAGAGTTAGATACTGAAAATATATTAAAGCTGATTTTTTCTTTAATTTTTAAATTTAATTTGGGATTACATACTCTGCTAAAGATCTATACTTTAAAATATGGAGATTTGGATCACTGATCCAAACAACCATTTGAAAAAAATAGTACATTATCTTGGGCTGTAAAGAAAATAAACCAATTCATAGAACCAAGGCATTTCTATAGGGCATTGGGCCATCATGTCTCCATGTTTCTATTTAATAGATTAATGCATTAAAATTTCTGTTTAGTATTTCAGAATGGTGATTATCTGTCCCTTAAATTTTTATTTAGGAGACAAGAATTTTATTACTAAGAAAAACAATCCCTTAGTACTGTTGAGGGCTTTTCACCTTCTAGATGATAATAGGTTAATTTGTTCATTAATAATTTAAAGAATATATTTTCTGAGGCTTTTAATGAAAAACATATTTAAAATTTAACCTCTTTGCTTTTGAATTTTATACTTAATGTCACATTATGAAGCATTTTTAAATTTTTCGAAGACCTCAGAAAATGTCTTATTTTGTTTTGTCTAAATTAAATTTTTTTCTGCGATTTCCAGAGGAAAAATAAAAATAATTCTATAAAGAAATATCTATATGGCACTTAAGACTACTTTAAACATTAAACATTTATACTAGGGCAAAAACACATTTTATGTATTGCCTAACTGTGCTTCAAATACTCAAACCTCACTCTTGAGTATTTGCACAATAACACACATCATCACTGATATCTTTGAGAGCATGTATCTTTCTATGGGAAATTTACTATGCAAGTATTACAGACTGAATCTTAATCCTTAAAATTCTTATGTTGAAGCCCTAAGCCCCCGTGTGACTGTACTTGGACATAAGGCTTTGGGGGAGAGAATTAATGTTAAATGAAATCATAAAGGTAGATCCCTACTTGATAGGACTGGTGTTCTTATAAGAAGAGGAAGTTACACCAGACATCTCCCTCTCCCCAACTACAGAGGAAAGGCTTTGTGAAGACACACACACACACACACACACACACACACACACACACACGTGACTATCTGCAAGCCAGAAAGAAAGACCTCACCAGAAACTGAATTTGCCAGTACCTTAATCTTGGACTTCTGGCCTCCAAAGCTGTGAGAAAATAAATTGATGTTGTTGAAGGCATCCAGCCTGTGGTACTTATTGTGGCAGTCTGAGAAGCAAGTAAGAAGTGACAGAATCCAGACATCTCAAGACATAGACTTAGTACATATGAGATCATTTTCTTCTTCTGAGTTGCTATAGATGGGTAGAAAATATCCAATTTGGACTAAAATTAATGATTGACTTGTACTTGGTGACATCATGCAGACACTAAGAGTGATGGCTAATCTATTGATTTTGATATGCAAAATGTGCTTCTAAAGTTATTGATAAAATACTTTATAGGTAGAACTAACTGCAAGCACTGATTTTTCTTGTTGGCTTTCGCTCTCTAAATATGAGATATTTGATGCTTAACATACACAAATAATGTTTATTGAATATGTTCTATATATCATGAATATTCTATACATGGTAGAATTATTTACCCAACAGGATTGGCCAATGTTGCAAATGAGGTCTTTTTCTTCACTGCATGGAGAACCAGTTATTAAACATGTAGCACTCCATCTCTCCTTAATACATATTGTATTCTAATCGAACCTGGAAGCAATGGGGGAGTGCAAAAAGCTTGTGACATGGCTTTCACTTTTGAAATTTTGTTCAGAAAAAGAAAATAAAATTCATATGCTTGACTAGCCCACTGTACATTTATTATATTATGTGTTTATTGATTCATGCAGCCGCTCATTCATTTTTATGAAATTTTATTGTGAAATACAGCAAAATACTGATGTTTATACAACTATGCACAATTTAATGAACAATTATAAGTAAAGAATTGTGTAACTACCTCACAAGATAAAAGTTAACATTGTCATTACCTTAGAGAACTTCATCTGCCCTGTGTTTCTATCATATGTATAGCATTGAAAAGACCTTGAAGGACTTTAGGCTGTATTTTCAGATATTCAAGAACGATCTCTGGTTTCAGGGGACCTCCTATTACATCCCACTGTCTCCTACCAAACCATATTTTTATATAATCATTTTTACAGTCTTTTTGTTTGTAATCATTTCTTTTAATCAACATTATGTCTGGCCATTCTTCCACACTGTTTGTGTGGCTGTGGTTCATTCATTTATGCTATTATGGAGTAAAGATTTACCTCAATTCATTGCTTTATTCTTTTAAGCAACAGACATAAAATTAATCCTTTTAAAGTGTACACTTAAGCATTCTTTAGTATATTCACAAAGAAGTAGTGCAACCATTACCACTGTCTAATTCCAAAATATTTTAATCCCCCAAAAAGAAACTCCATATCCATTCAGTCACAACTAATCGCCTCCTCACTCTACCTAATCCCAGATCTGACACTTATCCACTCTGTCTCTATGGATTTGTCTATTCTGAACACTTTATGTAAATGGAATCATGCAATTTGTGGCCTTGTGGTTTGACTTCTTTAATTTAGCATCACAGTCTCAAAATTCACCCATGTTGTGACTTGAATCAGCACTTTATTCCTCTTTATTGCCAAATATTCGATTGATTGGATATATCACATTTGTTTATCCATTTATTTGATGGACATTTGAGTTGTTGCAATTTTCTTCACTATTATAAATAATGCTGCTGTCAACATTTCTGTGTGTTTTTATTGGGACGTATATTTGCATTTTCTTGGGCATGTATCTAAATGTGGAGTTACTGAGTCATGATAAAGCTGTGCTTACCTTGTGTAGGAACTGCCAAAGTTTTCCAAACTGGCTATATCACTTTCCAACAAAGTTTTGAAGATTGCAATTTCTCCATATCCTCACCAACATTTATTACTTTCTGTCTTCTTGATTATAACCATTTTAGGAGAGTGAAGTATTATTTCATTGTGATTTTGATTTGCATTTACATGATAGTTGATGATGTTGAGCATTTAAAAAATGTGCTTAGTGGTCTTCTCTGAAGAAATGTCTTTATTTATAAATTATATTTGGTCTTTAATTATAAAGACCATTTATAATTGTCTTTTTATTAAGTTTAAGAGTTATTTATATTTTCTAGATACTAGTTCAATATCAAATACAGAATTTGCAAATATATTCTCCCATTTTATGGGTTTTTCACTTTTTTGATAGCATCTTTTGAAGCACAAAAGAGTATAATTTTGATAAAGTATAATTTATCTATTTTTTTATTTTATTGCTCTTTTTGGGGTGTCATATTTAAGAAATCATTGCCTAATCCATGGTCAGGGAGTGTTATGCCTACACTGTCTTTTAAGTTTTTTTTTTTTTTTTTTTTTTGAGACAGAGTCTTGTTTGTCCCCCAAGCTGGGATGCAGTGGCACAATCTTGTTGGCTCACTGCAACCTCCATGTCCTGGGCTCAAGCCATTCGCATGCCTCAGTCTCCCGAGTAGCTGAGATTACAGGCCTGTGCCACCAGGCCCAGCTAATATTTGTATTTTTAGTACAGACTGGATTTTGCCATGTTGGCCAGGCTGGTCTGGAGCTCCTGGCCTCAAGAGATTTGCCTGCCTGGGCCTCCCAAATTGTTGGGATTACAGGCATGAGGCACTGTGTCTGGCCCCTTTTAAGATTTTTTTTTTTTAAAGTGGGAGGATTTCATATAAATAATGATAAACCTGTAGATAAATATTAAATCTTTTAATCCAGGAACATAGACTGGCATTACATTTATTTAGTTCTTTAATTCTGCTCAACAATGTTTTGCAGTTTTCAGTGTACAAGACTTACACACTTTTTTTGTTAAATTTAATATTAAGAATTTTATTTTTAAGCCATTGTAAATGAAATTGTTTTCTTAATTTCACTTTCAGATTGTTTATTGTTAATGTAAAGAAATACAGTTGATTTCTGATAATAATCTTGGATCCTACAATACGGATGAACTTGTTTGTTAGCTCTAATAGTTTTTTGTTTGTTTGTCTGAAACAGCATCTCACTTTGTCACCCAGGCTGGAGTGCAGTGGTGCGATCACAGCTCACTGCAGCCCTGACCTCCCGAGTTTAAGCGATCCTCCCATCTCAGCCCCTCAAGTAGCTGGGACTACAGACACGTGGCACCATGTCCAGCTAATTATTTTTATTTTTATTCTTAGTAGAGACGAGGTTTCGCTACATTGCCTAGGTAGGTCTTGAATTCCTGTGTTCAAGTGATCCACCTATCTTGGCCTCCTGTCACAACTATGGAAGAACATGCTTCTTTTGAAGATCTGGTCAAAAGATCATTGCTTACTGAACTACTGAGTCATTGCTTGGAGGATATTGGCTCTACAAGTTCTTCGTATTTCTATGTAAATTTAAAAATCACTTTGTCAAGTTTGTAATAGAAAGTCAGTGGGATTTTGAGTAGGATTGCTTTGAATCCTTTTAGAAAAAAAATGAGCTGCTGATAAAATTGAATCTTCTAATCCACGAACATGCAATGTCTCTTTATTGATTTAGTATTTTAATTTATACAAAAATATTTTGTTATTTTCAGGTTACAAGTCTTGCACATCTTTTCTTAAACTGATTCCTAAGTATTTTGTTTTTTACACTTTTATAAATAATAACATTTATTCCTTTATTTTTCAATTGTTTGTTTCTGGTATGTAGAGTTATAATTATTTTTTCTATATTTGTAATTTTACAATATTGGTGAATTCACTCATTAGTTCTACCTGTTGGTTGTAGATTATTTTGAATTTTCTAAAAAAATTACTCTTGTCATCTCATAATAAAGGTATTTTAGTTTTCTTTTACAATATTTATGGTTCTTATTTATTTTTCTTACAGTGATGCTCTGGCTAGAATGTCCAATACAATGTTAAATAATTTGATAGGACATCTTTGCCGTATTTCCTATCTTAGTGGGAAGTGTTCAATATTTTACCTTTAATTTTGGTGTTAGCTATAGACTTTTTTTTTTTTAATAAATGTCTTTTGTCAGAAACAGAAAGTTCCTTTCTGAGTCATAGTTTTCTATGAATTCCTATTATAAAATGTATTAAATGTTGCCCAAAACTCTTTCAGTACCTATTAAGAAGAGACATAATTTTTCTTCTTTATAACGTGATATATCATTGTAGGTTTTAAAATGTGTTTCTGTGATACATCTCAATGGGTATTGATGATTTTTCTTATTATACATTGCTGGATTCAATTTACTGATACTTTTAAATAATGTTTGTATTCTTGTGAATGAATAATATTGATTTGTAGTATTTTTCTTTTCCTGTAAGGGAGTTGTCACATTTTAGTATCAGGAGTATATAAGCTTCATAAAACAAATTGAGAGTTACTTTCTTCCTGCATTTTCTGAGAGATTTGATGTCAGATTGATATTATTGATTGGTATTATTTCTTAAATATCATTTAAAATTCACCAGTGAAGCCATATAAACCTGAAGAATTCTTGGGGAAAGGCTGAAATTTTGTTGTTGTGAATACAAATATTTTATATATATAATTGCTCTGCATATGAAAACTTTTTGAATCCATTAGATGTGTGTGTAAATATAGTTCAGCAGTAATTTTATGTCAGTATATTGAAGATATAGCAACACCAACTTCTCACTTCTATTATTTGTATATGTAAGTCAATTATCAATGCAAGTGTTAATAATTTGATGGTAATCACAATTTTTTTCTCTGGCTCCTTTAAAACAAACGAAAAATGTTTCTGTGTGCTTTGGTATTCTAGCTGTGACCATGTGACAATTTCTATTTATTTATCCTGCTTGAAATTTCCTGAGCTTTTTGTGCATTAGTTGATTTTATTATTTTGAAAAAAATTTCCAACAATTATATCTTCACATATTTTTGGTTTTATATTTTCTCTCCTTTTTCTAAAATGCTGGTTAGACATATGTGCTACTTTCTAATTCTATTTTTTTTAATGCTGCAATAGCAAACTAATAATTACCCAATAATGCCCATATTCGAATCCCCAGAACCTCTAAATAAGTTACCTCTCATGGAAAGGGGACTTTGTAGATACAATTAAGATTAAGAACCTTGAGATGAAAAGATTATCCTGAGTTATCGAGGGGAGTCCAATTTAATTATATTAGTCCCTAAAAGTGAAAGAAAATGACAACAACAAAAAGAAAGTGTCAAAGAAATGCAACTTGAGAAAGACTAACCACAATTATTGTCTTTGAGACAGTAGGAAGGGGACCAGGAGCCAGAGAATAGGGTGGCATCTAGCATGTGTGAATGGCCTTTAATTTGTAGCCACACAAAAAAAAACGGAACTGAAATCTTCCAAAACTCAAATGAGCATAAAATGTATTCTTTTTTACAACCTTCAGAAATGAATACAGTCTGTCTACATCTTGATTTTAGTCTAGTGAGACCAGTAGTGGACTTCAGACCTACAGAACTAAAAGGTAACAAATTTGTATTTTGTAAGCTGCTAAATTTGTAGTAATTTATTATAGCCACAACAGAAAACAAATATATGTATTGATAACTATTTCTTATTTTAAAATTATATATCTATGCCCTGCATTGGGAATATTTTCATTTGATTTATTTGTCAGTTCACTAATTTTCTTTTCAGCAGTGTCTATATACTTGTTAAAAAGCTATTTGTAATGTTATTTGTTATTGTTACTTTTTTTCTAGACATTTTATTTGGCTTTAATTTGATTTTAATATTCTAATAAATTTTTACAATTTTTGTATATTTTATTTCTTAAAGCATAGCAGACAAATTTATTCATAACTCCTGATAATTCTAATATTAAAAATTATGCAGGTCTATTTTTGCACTGTTATTTCTTTTGATTATTTCTTATGATCCCATGTTTTTGTCTTTCATTTTATACATGATTTGACTATTTTTCTTGGAAAACTTCTGTTATTTAATTAAGGCATTTGTATTTGCTTCTGCTAGCCACTTAGTGGCAATGCCAAACAGGAATAATTTTTATTTAAATTTGCAGCTTTGTTTTTCTTTGTTTTGACCATAAGATGATACAATTTTGCAAATCACAAATATGATGCAAGGGAATCATATTTATTTGTTTATATTAAACTTATGTAACGTGTATAAATTTTTGCCTCATTTTATGTTCATTATAAAAACAATGTTTTCTGTTACCCTGCATTGTAAGTAGGGCGTATTTATTTTGGATTCATAATTAAACTGAGGGTGTAGACACTGGGATTTGAATTATATCAGAGGAGCATTTGAAATTATATAAACCTAATAGCTTGTCTTATACAACTTTAATCTGTATGTATCTTATACTACTTGGGCAAGTTCCATTCTTTTCCTTTTTCCCCATGTAACTAAAATATATTTAAAAACCATAGCTCAAATATTTCAAGTTTGGCAGGTGTCTTTCTTTATATATATATATATATTTTGTTGTTGTTGTTGTTGTTTTATTATACTTTAAGTTCTAGGGTACATGTGCACAATGTGCGGGTTTGTTACATATGTATACATGTGCCATGTTGGTGTGCTGCACCCATTAACTCGTCATTTACATTAGGTATATCTCCTAATGCTATCCCTCCCACCTCCCCTGACCCCACAACAGGCCCCCTGGTGTGTGATGTTCCCCTTCCTGTATCCAAGTGTTCTCATTGTTCAATTCCCACCTGTGAGTGAGAACGTGCAGTGTTTGTTTTTTTGTCCTTGCAATAGTTTGCTGAGAATGATGGTTTCCAGCTTCATCCATGTCCCTACAAAGGACATGAACTCATCATTTTTTATGGCTGCATAGTATTCCATTGTGTATATGTGCCACATTTTCTTAATCCAGTCTATCATTGTTGGACATTTGGGTTGGTCCCAAGTCTTTGCTATTGTGAATAGTGCTGCAATAAACATACGTGTGCATGTGTCTTTATAGCAACATGATTTATATTCCTTTGGGTATACTCAAAAGTCTGTGCTGTATTCAACTTACATTTCTGGATTCCAGCCTTCATTAAGAGTATGGCCTGATATTTTCTTACTATCTTTCAATACTATCTTTTACATCTTTTTCTATTTTAAAAAGAATGTTTTCTTTTTCAATACTGAAAGTTATTACTGCATAGTAGATGTATATATTTGGGGATAAATGTTATATTTTGATATATTCATATTATAATATAAGCAGTGATAAAATCAGAGTAACTGAGATATCCTTTATCTTACCCTATATCATGTATCTTTTCCTTATGCTAGTAACATTTGAATTACTCTTTTCTAGCTAAGTTGAAATATACAATACCATAGATTATTGTTAACTGTAATCACCCTATCGAACTCTCAAACAATATGCCTTATTCTTTCTCTCTAAATGTATTTTTGTACTCATTAATCAACCTCTCTTTATCCTCCCACCCCTTCCAGCATTTATCTTTATGAGATCCATATTTTAACTCCTACGTATGAAGAACATGCAATATTTGTCCTTTTCTGCCTGTCTTATTTCATTTAACATAATGACTTCCAGTTCCATTCATATTGCTGCAAATGACAGAATTTCATTTTTCTTTATTGCTGAATAATATTCTATTGTGTATATATACCATTTTTTTATCCATTCATCTGTGATGAACAGTAGGTTGATTCTGTATCTTGGCTATTGTAAATAATGTAGCAATAAACATGGGAGTGCAAATATCTTTTTGATATACTGATTTCCTTACTTTTGGAAATATAGCCACTAATGGAATTGCTAAATCATTTGGTAATTTTATTTCAAGTTTTTTGACAAACCTTCATGCAATTTTCCATAGCACATTCCCAACAACAGTGTATGAGTGTTCCCTCTTCTTCACATCATCACCAGCATACCTTATTCCCTGTCTTTTTGAGGAAAACCATTTCAACTGAGGTGAAATGATATGGTTTTGATTTGCATCTCTGTGATGATTAGTGTCATTGAGCATTTTTAAAAAATATACTTTGGCCATTTGTATGTCTTATTTTGAAAAATGTCTACTCAGATATTTTGGCCATTCTTCAGTTGGATTATTTGTTGCCTTGCTATTGAACTGTTTGAGTCTCTTATATGTTATGGTTATTAGTCCCTTGTCAGTTGAATAGTCTGTAAATACTTTTCCTATTTTGTGGATTGTCATTCACTTTGTTGACTTTTTTTTTTTTTTTGAGGAGAAACTTTTTTAACATGATATGATCTTTTTTGTCTATTTTTGATTTTGTTGTTGTGCTTTTGAGGCCTTACTTAAAATCTTTGCTCAGACCAATGCCTTGGAGTGTTTCCCCAATGTGTTCTTTTAGTCATTTCATAGTTTCAGGTCTTAGGTTTAAGTGTTTCATTTATTTTGATTTGATTTGTGTATATGGTGAGAAATAGGGATCTGGTTTCCACATACGGATATCTAGTTCTCCCAGCACCATTTACTGAAGAGACTCCTTTTCTCAATCTATGTTCTTGGTGGCTTTGGCGAAAATGAGTTAGCTGTAAATGAGTCAATTTATTTCTGCATTCTCTATTCTGCTCCATTGGTCTATGTGTCTGTTTTCATGCCAGTACTATGCTGATTTGGTTACTATAGTTTTATAGTACATTTTGAATTTAGATAGTGTGATATCTTTAGCTTTGTTCTTTATGCTCAGGACTATTTTGGCCATTTGGTGTCTTTTGTGGTTCCACATAAACTTTAGGATTGCTTTTATTATTTCTGCAAAGAATGTCACTTGTATTTTGACAGAGATTGCATTGAATCTGTAAATTGCTTTCCATAGCATCAACATTTATACAATATTGATTCTTCCAATCTATGAGCATAGAATATTTTTCATTTTATTTTGTCCTCTATAATTTCTTTTGTTAGTGTTTCATAGTTTTTCCCTGTAGAAATTGATTTCTAGTTTAAATCCACTGGAGTTGTGAGACTTGATATGATTTTAACTTTTTCGAGTTTGTTAGACTTGTTTTTTGACTAACATGTGCTCTGTCCAAGAGAATGTTCCATTTGCTTATGAGAAGAATGTGTATTCTGAAGCAGTTGGATGCAATGTTAGTAAATGTCAGTTAAGTTCATTTGGTCTACTGTGCAGTTTAAATACAACTTTCTTTGTTCAATTTCTGTCTGGATAATATGTCCTTTACTAAGAATAGGATGTTGAAGTACCCTGCTATTATTGAATTTCACTTTATTTATCTATCTATTTTTACTTTTTTTTTTTTTTTTTTGAGACAGAGTCTCACTCTGTCCCCCAGGCTAGAGTGCAGCGGGGCCATCTCGGCTCACTGCAACCTCCACCTTCTAGGTTCAAGCAATTCTCCTGCTTCAGCCTCCCAAGTAGCTGGGTTACAAGGATGGACCACCACATATGGCTAATTTTTTGTAGTTTTAGTAGATACAAGATTTCACCATGTTGACCAGGCTGGTCTTGAACTCCTGATCTCAAGTGATCTGTCCGCCTCAGTCTTCCAAATGGATTACAGGTGTGAGCCATCATGTCTGGAGAGATTTCACTTGATCTCTCCCTTTAGATCTATCAAGTTTTTTTTTTTTTTTTTGAGATGGAGTCTCGCATTGTAGCCCAGGCTGGAGGGCAGTGGCGTGATCTCACCTCTCTGCAAGCTTCGCCTCCTGGGTTCACACCATTCTCCTGCCTCAGCCTCCCAAGTACAGGCGCCCACCACCACGCCATGCTGATTTTTTTTTTGTATTTTTAATAGAGACAAGGTTTCGCCATGTTAGCCAGGATGGTCTTGATCTCCTGACCTCATGATCTGCCCACCTTGGCCTTCCAAAGTGCTGGGTCAAATTTGTTTTATATATTTTAGTGGTCCATTGTTGAGTGCACAGGTATCAATAATTGTTACATCATCTTGTTGAATTGAACTCTTTATTATGACCTTTATTGTGACCTTCTTTGTCTCTTGTTATAGTCTTTAACTTGTGGTCTACTATATCTAACATGAGTGTCAGGAATTTCTGCTCTTTTTTTGTTCCATTTTGATGGAATTCATTTTCCATTTTTTCAATTTCAGTCTATGCTGTCTTTAAAGGTGAAGTACGTTTGTTGGAGGCAACATATAGTTGAGTCTTACTTTTAAAATTCATTTAGCTACTCTATGTCTTTTAATTGCAGAATTTAGTCTGCTTATATTTAATGTTATTATTGATTGGTAAGAACTTAAAATTGCCATTTTGTTACTGTTTTCTTGTTTTGTAACTCCTCTCCCTTTTTTCTCTTCTTACTGTCTTCCTTTATAGTTAAGTGATTTTCTCTGGTAGTATGTTTCAATTAATTGGTTGTTTTTAGTGTATCTATTACAGATTTTTGCTTTGTGGTCACCATGATGCTGGATACAAAATTATTTTAAACAGATGACAACTTATCTTTCATCACGAAGAATACAATAGAAAAGAAACAAAAAACAAAAACAGAAAACTGGAAACACTCAGCTTTAACTCCCTTGTCCACACATTTTGAGTTTATATTGTCTCAATTTCAATCTTTTTATATTATCTATCACTTAACAAGTTGCTCTAGCTACTTTTTTGGTATACTCGTGTTCTAGTCTTTATACTATAATTTTGAGTAGATTGTACACTTCAATTACAGTTTTAGAGCATTCTGTTTTTCTGTGTACTCACTTTTACCAGTGGCCTTTATACAACTCCAATTTGTTTTTTGGATTTTTGTGTTTTATTATTATTATTATTATCATTATTATTTAGAATGAAGAACTCCCTTTAGCATTTGTTGTTAGACAAGTCTGGTGGTGATAAACATTTTCAGACTTTGTCTGGGAAAAACTATCTTTCTTTCATGTTCAAAGCACAACTTTGCTGGGTACATGTTCTTGGTTGGCAGCCCTTTACCTTCAGCACTTTGAATATGTTGTCTCACTTTCTCCTGGCTTGTATGATTTCCATTGAGAGAAGTCTGTTGCCAGACAAATGGAAACTCCTTTAAACGTTATTTGCTTCCTCTCCCTTGCTGTTTTTACGATTCTCTGTTTGTCCTTGACCTTTGAAAGTTTGCTTGTTATAGACCTTGGGGTAGTCTCATTTGGATTGAATCCATTTGGTGATCTCTAACTATCCTGTATCTAGATACTTACATCTTTCTGAAGTCGGAAAGACTTCTGTTAACATTTTTAATGAACTTTCTACCACTTGCTCTTTCTCAGCTCTCTTGAACACCAATAATTCTTAAATTTGCTCTTTTGAGGTGGTTTTTAAAAATATCTTATAGGTGTTCTTTGTTCCTTTCTGTTCTTTTTGTGTGTATTTTCAAATATCCTGTCTTCAAGCTCACTGATTCTCTCCTCTATTTGATCCATTTTTTTCTTTGGACAGTTTCTAAAAAATTTTCAGCTCAGCAAACATATTTCTTTCTTACTCACTGGTTTCATATGTTGTTAATTTGTGGATATCATGGTTCCCTGTTTATTGTTGTTTCCTGTGGATGTACATCTATGTTTTCTCATTGAAGAATCAGTTATATATTCCAGTCTTCTCTGTCTGTTTTCTTATGTTTTGTTCTTGGATACGTTTACAATTTACCTGTTGAATATATACATATATATACATGTATGTGCTTGTGCATAGATATATATGTATATATATACACATATATATATTTTATATAGTTTAAGTTCTGGGGTACATGTGCAGAACATGCAGGTTTGTTACATAGGTAGACACATGCCATGGTGGCTTGCTGTACCCAACCTGTTGAATATATTTTCACTAGGTTACTGCCTTCTATTTGGCACTAGGTGGCACCTTGAACCCATGTTTGCTTTGGTTCTAGCAAATGTTTGGAATATTGCCCATCCTGATTGGGGAAATCCTACAAAAAATATCCTGGCTGGGTGCAGTGGCTCACGCTTGTAATCCTAGCACTTTGGGAGGCTGAGGTGGATGGATCTCCTGAGGTCAGGAGTTCAAGACCAGCCTGGTCAACATGGCAAAATCCTGTCTCTACAAAAATAAATAAATAAATAAATATACAAAAATTAGCCACGTGTGGTGGCAGGCACCTGTAATCCCAGCTACTTGGAAGGGTGAGGCAGGAGAATCAATTTGAACCCAGGGGATGGAGGTTGCAGTGAGCTTAGATTGTGCCACTGCACTCCAGCCTGAGTGATAGAACAAGACTCCATTTCAACAACAACAACAACAGCAACAAGTACCTCAACAGTATGGGAAACCTGACTAGGAACTCATGCCCAGGGGAACTGTGGAATATGCTTCCAACAGTATGGTTCTACTAAACAGGCCCTCTGATTTGGTGTTTCCATTGACTGAGATATAGAGCAGAGTTCTGTGGTTTGAGACTGCTAGTCCTGCCTCCTCTCTTTGTCTTTGGCTGTCCTCAGTGGTTTTTCTCCCTTTGGGCACTCGAGATGCTTTTGTGGGTTGAGGCAGAGACAGTTCTCCTGCCAGGGAAACCAACGTGGTAAGGAAGTGGTTGTCCATCTTGATTTCACTTTTTCCAGTGTAGAAACTGTGAGTTCAGGGGAAATTTTATATATGGGAGGATATCTGGTAGATTGGGACCAGTCGTTACTGATATAAAAGTCTGATTCTCTTACTGTCTGCATGGAGTTTTAAAATTCTCTATGGCCTAGAAATGATCTCATCCCTGTATTTGAATTTTAGGATATTGCTGGTAATAATCTTGGCAGTATATATGTATTTTTGGTTTTCAGTTAGGGGAATAAAGTCAGCTTGCTTTTACTCTGTTGTTTCGGTGATTTCATATCAGCATTTTTTATTACTTTTAGTTGGAGTGTATGTTTGAATATCTAACTTGTCGTCTTTCTGAACATAATTCATTTACTAAACAAACACTTATTGGAGACTTATCATATATTTGATACTCCAGTGTAAATAAGACATGACTCTTGACCACTTGGATGTTGCAGTACTGTGACAAACACACATAAACAAGTAAAATTATAAGTTATGTAAGTATTATAAAATAGGAAATAGAAGGAAATCTTGATCTTCTAGGTTAATATTTTGACTCATGAGATTCTGTGGTATTTCTGATTATACAGATTGTTAATTGCAAACTCAAAACTATCAGTTACCCTCAATCCCAGTTCAAGGTTCTTCCTACTTTGCTATATTTATTTATTTTGATTTGTCATTTGTCAATGTTTCCAATAGTGGGATTCTGTCTCACCATGCAGATCAAGCTGCTTGTGGCCTTAAGTTCTTTAAAAGAGTTCTTTAAGAACTCTCTAAAATTTTTTTCATGAGCTTTTAAAATATAAGTTGCTAAAGTTGTATGTATCTTATTATTAATTTTAATACTGCCATGGTAGTAGGGCCACTTATGTATGCTCGATGCATCTTATTTAACTAGACTAAGAAAAGAAAAGTTGTGTAATTCTTCATAAAATGTCAAAGGAGAAAACTGCAATATTTGGTTGAAAATCAAGTCAGTACTACTAGCACAAAACTTTGTCAGGGAATATAAAATACTCAAGGGATCAAGAAACCACCCCTACAGATTATTCATTAGAAAGTATTCAAAAGTTCAGAGATAATACAAATGGAAAATTGAAACTTTTTTTTTCTTTCTCTCTGAGACACCCATTAATTCCCTAATATAAAGCTTCATCTGATGGTTAACTTATGCCATTTGGGTATGAAGTTCTTGTTAGACAATTTTGAAAGGCAGCATCTGTTTTTTTCTATAAGCATTTTTCTACCTTTCCACCTTTCTTGCTATAGATTTTTACAACTGGTGTTCCAGCCAAACACTTGACATTTTACCACAGAACATTAAGTTACCACACTTCCTACCCACATAAATAATCTCATTTCACATTTTTAAAGAGCTTTATTTTCACAATACTCATTACTTTGAAGTCTTCTTATATTAGCCCTGACCAGAGGACTCTATTTTCCTAGTTATTACCTAAAAACAGTCAAAGGACGGTTTTATCTGTGGTTTTGTCTGCTTGTCAGTGAAAGAGATGTTTCTTTTTCTTATGATTGAATAAATATGCAGTAAATACTAAATATTACTTATATGTTAATAATGTCTAACTTCTATTGAGTGTTTTCTATGTATCAATCATAGTTATAAGTTATTTCCCTATGGAGCCAATTTAATTTTCCTGTCAGCTCATTTAATTCAACAACCTTCTAAAACACAGACTATTATTGCTCCTATTTTACAGACAAGGAAGCTAAGACTGTTTTCTAAAAATTTCCATTTTTATTTTAGATTCAAGGGTACACCTACAGGTTTGTTACAAGTGTACATTGTGTGATGCTGAGGTTTGGGCTTCTATTGGTCCATCACCGAGATAGTAAACATAGTACCCAATAGTAAGTTTTTCAATTCTTGTCCCTCTCTCTTCTTTTGGAGTCCCCAGTGTCTATTGTTCCCATCCCTGTGTTTATGTGTACCCAAGATTTAGCTCCCTCTTATAAGTGAGAAAATGGGCAGTAATTGGTTTTCTGTTTCTGAGTTAATTCACTTCAAATAATGGCCTCCAGCTGCATCCATGTTACTTCAAAACACATGATTTTTTTTTTCTTTTTTAATGGTTGTAGTATTCCATGGTGTGTATGTATCACATTTTCTTTATCCAATCTTCCATCGGTGGACACCTAAGTTGATTCCATGTCTTTGCTATTGTGAATAGTGGGAAGCTAGTCCTTAAAAGGAGAAAGTAACTTGCCAAAGACACACAACTGTTCAGTGGCAGAACAGAACAGTTAGATTTTGAACTAAGAAAATCTAACTCTAGGGCCTTTGTTCTTCAGTGTCTGCAATCTAGATTTCCATTGATGATATTTACTCTATTTATTGGGTGAACCAATATCCTCATTTTGATGGGTTTATAATATGTTATTTTATTATAAAGTCATGAATTATCTTGCTTATTTCCTGATTGTAGAGATTTCTTTAGATTTTGTACTTTTAAATGTAGCCTCTTATAAAATAGAGATTATATGTGCATATATTGTATACAAATATGTTATGATGTGAACATGTAGTGACCCATAGTGTATGTAAAATTAAAAGAGTCATTATCTTCTCGTTTCATAAAATTAAGCATTACATATTCTTAAGTATTGTCAAAAACAGGATTATGATTTTAAAGACTGTCTAGAAATCTGTAACAAGAATGTTTTACGTACCCATGAATTTGCTGTTTCTCATATTTCTTCCATTTTACTATGATTAGAAAATACTTTGGCCAATGTTTATGTTCAGTCATAACATATGTTCAGTTCATATTTCACCTATATTTCATTAGACATTGTATTAGTCTGTTCTCACATTGCTATAATGGACTGCCCAAGGCTGGGTAATTTACAAAGGAAAGAGGGTTAATTAACTCACAGTTATGCATGTCTAGGGAGGTATCAGGAATCTTACAATCATGGCAGAAGGGAAAGCAAACACATCCTTCTTGACATGATGGTAGGAAGAAGAAGTGCTGAGCAAAACTGGGAAAAGCCCCTTATAAAACCATCATCTCTTGTGAGAACTCACTCACTATCATGAGAACAGCAGCATGGGGGTAACCGCCCCCAGAATTCAATTCCCTCCCACTGGGTCCCTCCCACAACACATGGGGATTATGAGAACTATAATACAATTCAAGATTTGGGTGGGGACACAACCAAATCATATCATTAATTTATCATTTTATATGCCCATTGTCCCTTCCAAAAATTATTTTCTTTGCTTCTAATGGCCTAATTGCTATAAAATCTCTTGAAAGACTGCCCTTGTGGTAAAGGAGGCATTTTAGAAGGCTAAAAGCAAAATCATTGAAGTATCTGGTAGATTACGCCTTCATGTGATGCAGTGTACTAAAGCATAAAACCCAGCTCCCTTGGATTAAACAGAGATATACTTTACTCATACTGTACATTGTAGTCTAGAGCAAATTTGTGGGATTAGTTTAAAGCTGGTGTGTTGCCTAAAATCTTACCCCGATTGACTTATTTTCCCTTCCCTGTTCTATTGGTTTCTCTTGAGAGCACTTGCTCAATAAATCACTTACAGATCAATTCTAAGTTTCAAGGAAACTTTACATAAGACAAAATGTCATTATATGTAAATCTTTATATGTAACTCATAATATTTTTAAAATTTTATGCAATACTTTTTGGGGTACAGGGTTTTCTTTGTCACAAGCATAAGTTCTTTAGTGGTGATTTCTAAGATTTTTTTTCACCCATCACCTCAATCCTTTCTGACTTCTATGGTTTCTGCTGATAAATCTGCTGTTAATCTGATAAGTTTTTCTTTATAGATTACCTGATGCTTTGTCTCACAGCTCTTAAGATTCTTTCATTTGTCTTGACTTTAGATGATTTTATGACTATGTATGTTGGTGATGGTCTTTTTGTGATGAATTTCCCAGGAAGTATACGAGGTTTCTGTATTCAGGCGTCTAGATCTCTAGGAAGGCCAGAGAAGTTTTCCTCTATTATTCCTTCAAATAAATTTTCCAAACTTTAGATTTCTCTTTTTCCTAAGAAATAGCAATTATTCTTAGGTTTGGCCACTTTACATAATCCTATATTTCTTGGAGACTTTGTTCATTTTTTTCAAATTCTTTTTTCTTTGCCTTTGTCAGATTGGGTTAATTCTAAAGGCTTGTCTTCCAGTTCTGAAATTCTTTCTTCTACTTGTTCTAGTCTATTGTTGAAACTTTCCATTGCCCTAAGTGTGCCTTTCATTTCCAGAATTTGTGATTGTTTTTTCTTTATGATATACACTTCTCTGAAAAATTTTCATTCATATCCTGGATTTGTTTTTTAAATTTCTTTAAGTTGGTTTCACCTTTATCTGCTATGTCCTTGAGCAGATTAATAATCAGTCATCTAAATTCTTTATATGGTAATTCAAATATATTTTTTTATTGGTTTGGATCCATTGCTGGGGAGCTAGTGTGATCTCTTCTGGGTGTTTTAGAACCCTGTTTTGTCATATTACCATAGTTACTTTTCTGGTTCCTTCTGATTTGAGCAGATTATCTCTTCAAATTGTTCTTAAATTTATTTTTGATTGGATTGTGTTTTTTTAAAAAAAATTCTTCCCTGGCCCTACCCCTTAAGGATTGGACTTTATGTTTATTTTAGCCTAATTTGATTTTGGGTACTTTTAGGTGGAAAACTTTTTATGAATTCCTTAGTTATGGAGAGACTTTGTGTGCTAGCTTTCTCAGATGCCGTTTGCAGTAGCTATGTTTTTGGTGTGTGGGTAATTTCATTGTCTCCTATGGGGATGGAATGACAAGAATCTCTTGAAGCTTGATTTATTCTTTTTTGGTGTTCAATTTATTTAATTTTCCTCCAGTATTTTATTTACTGAGTTGACGATTCAGGCTTCAGGCCAATAGGAGAGGTAACCCTGGGTAGGAACAGGTTGTTGTTAAGGCAGGTGGGTGGATGTAATACCTAATGGTGGTCCAAGGCCCCAGCCTTGATGAGGGTGGCTGGGGGAACTCACAATTAGATTTGCTGAGGTATTATCAGGGTGAAGAGTGGAAGCTACTTCAGCTCCCTTGTCCAGCCAGCAAGAAAGCTATTTATTTTATAGCCTTATTCTTGTCCCAGTATTTCAGCTATTCAGATCAGTCAGGCACCTCTTTTTATCTATAGGAATGTTTTTTTTAAAAAATTTTTTATTATACTTTAAGTACTGGGATATATATGCAGAACATGCAGGTTTGTTACATAGGTATACCCGTGTCATGGTGGTTTGCTGCACCCATCAACCCATCATCTACATTAGATATTTCTCCTGATGCTATCCCTCTCCAAGCCCCCCACCTCCTGATAGGCCCCCTTGTGTGATGTTCCCCTCCCTGTGTCCATGTGTTCTCATTGTTCAACTCCCACTTATGAGTGAGTACATGCGGTGTTTGGTTTTCTCTTCTTGGGTTAGTTTGCTGAGAATGATGGTTTCCAGATTCATCCATGTCACTGCAAACGACATGAACTCATCCTTTTTTATGGCTGCATAGTATTCTGTGGTGTATATGTGCCACATTTTCTTTATTCAGTCTATAATTGATGGACATTTGGGTTGGTTCCAAGTCTTTGCTATTGTGAACAGTGCTGCAATAAACGTACATATGTATGTGTCTTTATAGGAGAATGATTTATGATTCTTTGGGTGTATACCCAGTAATGGAATTGCTAGATCAAATGGTATTTCTGGTTCTAGATCCTTGAGGAATTGCCACACTGTCTTCCACAATGTTCGAACTAATTTACACTCCCACTAACAGTGTAAAAATGGTCCTATTTCTCCACATCCTCTCCTGCATCTGTTGTTTTCTGACTTTTTAATGATCGCCATTCTAACTGGCATGAGATGGTATCTCATTGTGTTTTTGATTTGCATTTCTCTAATGACCAGTGATGATGAGCTTTTTTTCATATGCTTACTGGCCACACTTCTTTTGAGAAGTGTCTGTTCATACCCTTTACCCACATTTTGAAGGAGTCGTTTGTTTTTTTCTTCTAAATTTGTTGAAGTTCTTTGTAGATTCTGGATATTAGCCCTTTGTCAAATGGATAGATTGCAAAAATTTCCTCCCATTCTGTAGGTTGCGTGTTCACTCTGATGATAGTTTCTTTTGCTGTGCAGAAGCTCTTTAGTTTAATTAGATCCCATTTGTCAATTTTGGCTTTTGTTGCCATTGCTTTTGGTGTTTTAGTTGTGAAGTCTTTGCCCATGCCTATGTCTTGAATGGTATTGCCTAGGTTTTCTTCTATGGTTTTTATGGTTTGAGGTCTTACATTAAAGTCTTTAATCCATATTCAGTTAATTTTTTTAAGGTGTAAAGAAGGGGTCCAGTTTCAGTTTTCTGCATATGGCTAGCCAGTTTTCCCAATGCCATTTATTAACCTTTCCCCATTGCTTGTTTTTGTCAGATTTGTCAAAGGTCAAATTGTTGTAGATGTGTGGCGTTATTTCTGAGGCCTCTGTTCTGTTCCATTTTTCTATATATTTGTTTTGATACTGGCACCATGCTGTTTTGGTTGCTGTAACCTTGTAGTATAGTTTGAAGTCAGGTAGCGTGATGCCTCCAGATTTGTTCTTTTTGCTTAGGATTGCTTTAGCTATACAGGCTCATTTTGGTTCCGTATGAAATTTAAAGTAGTGTTTTCTAATTCTGTGAAGAAAGTCAATGGTAGCTTGATGGGGATAGCATTGAATCTGTAAATTACTTTGAGCAGTATGGTCATTTTCTCGATATTGATTTTTCCTATCCATGACCATGGAATGTTTTCCATTTGTTTGTGTCCTCTCTTATTTCCTTGAGCAATGGTTTGTAGTTCTCCTTGAAGAGGTCCTTCATATCCCTTGTAAGTTTTATTCCTAGGTATTGTTTTCTCTTTGCAGTAATTGTGAATGGGAGTTGAATCATGATTTGGCTCTCTGTCTATTATTGGTGTATAGGAATGCTTGCGATTTTTGCACATTGATTTTGTATCCTGAGACTTCGCTGAAGTTGCTCATTAACTTAAGAAGATTTGGGGCTGAGACGATGGGGTTTTCTAAATATACAATCATGTCATCTGCAAACAGAGACAATTTGACATCCTCTCTTCCTATTTGAATACCCTTTGTTTCTTTCTCTTGCCTAATTGCCCTGGCCAGAACTTCCAATACTATGTTGAATAGGATTGGTGAGAGAGGGCATCCTTGTCTTGTGCTGGTTTTCAAAGGGAATGCTTCCAGCTTTTGCTGTTTCAGTATGATATTGGCTGTGGGTTTGTCATAAATAGCTCTTATTGTTTTAAGATATTTTCCATCAATACCTAGTTTATTGAGTGTTTTTAGCCTGCAGGGGTGTTGAATTTTATCAAAGGCCTTTTCTGCATCTATTGAGATAGTCATGTGGTTTTTGTCATTGGTTCTGTTTATGTGATAGATTACATTTATTGATTTGTGTATGTTGAACCAGCCTTGCATCCCAGGGATGAAGCCGATTTGATCGTGGTGGATAAGCTTTTTAATGTGCTGCTGGATTTGGTTTGCCAGTATTTTATTAGGGATTTTTGCATTGATGTTCATCAGGGATATTGGCCTGAAATTTTCTTTTTGTGTGTGTGTGTCTCTTCCAGGTTTTGGTATCAGGAGGATCCTAGCCCCATAAAATGAGTTAGGGAGGAGTCCCTCTTTTACTTTGGTATGGAATAGTTTCAGAAGGAATGGTACCAGCTCCTCTTGTACTTCTGGTAGAATTCGGCTGTGAATCCGTCTGGTCCTGGGCTTTTTTTTGGTGGTTAGGCTATTAATTAATGCCTCAATTTCCAAGCTTGTTATTGGTCTATTCGGAGATTCGACTTTTCCCTGGTTTAGTCTTGAGAGGGTGTGTCTATATCCAGGAATTTATCCATTTCTTCTAGATTTTCTACTTTATTTGCATAGAGGTGTTTATAGTGTTCTCTGATGGTAGTTTGTATTTTTCTGTGGCATCGGTGTTGATCTCCCCTTTATCATTTTTTATCGTGTCTATTTGATTCTTCTCTCTTTTCTTCTTTATTAGTCTGTCTAGTGGTCTGTCTATTTTGTTAATATTTTCAAAAAGCCAGCTACTGGATTCATTGATTTTTTGAAGGTTTTTTGTGTCTCTATCTCCTTCAGCTCTGCTCTGATCTTATTTCTTATCTTCTGCTAGTTTTTGAATTTGTTTAGTCTTGTTTTTCTAGTTTGTTTATTTGTGATATTAGGGTGTTGATTTTTGATATTTCCTGCTTTCTCCTGTGGGCATTTAGTGGTAAAAATATCTCTCTAAACACTGCTTTAGTTGTGTCCCATAGATTCTGATATGTTGTGTCATTGTTCTCATTGATTTCAATGAACTCATTTATTTCTGCCTTAATTTTGTTATTACCCAGTAGTCATTTAGGAGCAGGTTGTTCAGTTTCAATCTAGTTGTGCAGTTTTGAGTGAGTTTCTTAATCCTGAGCTCTAATTTGATTTCAATGTGGACTGAGAGACTGTTTGTTATGATTTCCTTTCTTTTGCATTTGCTGAGGAGTGTTTTACTTCCAGTTATGTGGTCAATTTTAGAATAAGTGTGATGTGGTCACAAGAAGAATGTGTATTCTGTTGATTTGGGGTGGAGAGTTCTGTAGATGTCTATTAGGTCCACTTGGTCCAGAGCTGAGTTCAAGTCCTGAATATCCTTGTTACTTTTCTGTCTCATTGATCTGTCTAATATTGACAGTATGGTGTTAAAGTCTCCCACTATTATTGTGTGGGAGTCTAAGTTTCTTTGCAGGTCTCTAAGAACTTGCTTTATGAATCTGGGTGCTCCTGTATTGGGTGCATATATATTTATGAGAGTTAGCTCTTCTTGTTTCATCGATCCCTTTACCATTATGTAATGCCCTTCTTTGTCTTTTTTAAAATCTTTGTTGGTTTAAAGTCTGTTTTATCAGAGTCTAGGATTGCAATCCCTACTTTTTTTTTTTCTTTCTACTTGCTGGGTAAATATTCCTCCATCCCTTTATTTTGAGCCTGTGTATGTCTTTGCATGTGAAATGAGCCTCCTGAATACAGCATACCAATGGGTCTTGACTCCTTATCTAATTTCCCAGTCTGGGTCTTTTAATTGGGACACTTAGCCTGTTTACATTTAAGGTTAATATTATTGTGTGTGAATTTGATCCTGCCATTGCGATGCTAGCTGGTTATTTTGCCCATTAGTTGATGGAGTTTCTTCATAGTGTCAATGGTCTTTACAACTTGGTATGTTTTTGCAGTGGCTGGTACCAGTTTTTCCTTTCCATATTTAGTACTTCCTCCAGGAGCTCTTGTAAGGCAGGCCTGGTGGTGACAAAATCTCTCAGTATTTGCTTCTCTGTAAAGGATTTTATTTCTCATTCGGTTATGAAGCTTAGTTTGGCTGAATATGAAATTCCAGGTTGAAAATTCTTTTCTTTAAGAATGTTGACTATTAGCCCCCATTCTCTTCTGGCTTGTAGGGTATCTGCAGAGAGATCCGCTGTTATTCTGATGGGCTTCCCTCTGTGGGTAACACGACCTTTCTCTCTGGTTACCCCTTAACATTTTTTCCTTCATTTCAATCTTGATGAATCTGACGATTATGTGTCTTGGGGTTGTTCTTCTTGAGGAGTATCTTTGTGATGTTCTTTGTATTTCCTGAATTTGAATGTTGGCCTATCTTGCTACGGTGGGGAAGTTCTCCTGGATAATATCCCGAAGAGTCTTTTCCAACCTGGTTCGATTCTCTCCATCACTTTCAGGGATACCAATCAAATGTAGGTTTGGTCTTTTCATATAGTTCCATATTTCTTGGAGGCTTTGTTTTTTCCTTCTCATTCTTTTTTCTCTAATCTTGTCTTCATGCTTTATTTCATTAAGTTGATCTTCCATCTCTAATATCCTTTCTTCTGCTTGATCGATTTGGCTGTTGATACTTGTGTATGCTTCACGAAGTGCTTGTGCTGTGTTTTTCAGTTCCATTAGGTCATTTATGTTCTTCTCTAAATGGATTATTCTAGTTACCAATTCCTCTGACCTTTTATCAATGTTCTTAGCTTCCTCGCATTGGGTTAGAACATGCTCCTTTAGATTGGAGGAGTTTGTTATTACCCACCTTCTGAAGCCTAAGTCTGTCAATTGATCAAACTCATTGTCCAATTTTGTTCCCTTGCTGGCAAGGAGTTGTGATTCTTTGGAGGAAAAGGGGCCTTCTGGTTTTGGGAATTTTCAGCCCTTTTGTGCTGGTTTTTCCTTATCTTCATGGATTTATCTACTTTTGGTCTTTGCTTTTGGTGACCTTCGGACAGAGTTTCTGTGTGGACGTCCTTTTTGTTGATGTTGATGCTATTCCCTTCTCTTTGTTATTTTTCCTTCTCACGGTCAGGGCCCTCTGCTGCAGGTCTGCTGGAGTTTGCTGGAGGTCCACTCCAGACCCTGTTTGTCTGGGTATCACCAGTGGAGCTTGCAGAACAGCAAAGATTGCTGCCTGTTCTTTCCTCTGGAATCTTCGTCCCAGAGGATCACCTGCCAGACATCAGTGGGAGCTCTCCTGTATGAGGTGACTGTCGACCCCTGCTGGGAGGTGTTGCCCAGTCAGGAGGTACAGGGGTCAGGGACCCACTTGAGGAGGTAGTCTGTGCCTTGGCAGAGCTTGAGTACTGTGCTGGGTGATACACTACTCTCTTCAGAACCAGCAAGCAGGAACGTTTAAGTCGGCTGAAACTGCACCCACAGCTTCCCCTTCCCTCAGATGCTCTGTCCCAGGGAGATGGGAGTTTTATCTAAAAGCCCCTGACTGGGGCTACTGCCTTTCTTTCAGAGATGCCCTGCCCAGAGAGGAGAAATCTAGAGAGGCAGTCTGGCTTCAACAGCTTTGCCAAGCTGTGGTGGGCTCTGCCCTGTTTGAACTTCCTGGCAGCTTTATTCACACTGGGAGGGAAAAACCGCCTACTCAAGCCTCAGTAATGGCCGACGCCACTCCCCTCTCCAAGGTAGAGAGTCCCAGGTCGACTTCAGACTGCTGTGCTGGCAGCGAACATTTCAAGCCAGTGGATCTTAGCTTGCTGGGCTCCGTGGGGGTGGGATCCACTGAACTAGACCACTTGGCTCCCTGGCTTCAGCCCCCTTTGCAGGGGAGTGAATGGTTCTGTGTCACTGGCATTCCAGCTGCCACTGGGGTGCGAATAAAAAACTCCTACAGCTAGCTCGTTGTCTGCCCAAATGGCTGTTCAATTTTGTGCTTGAAACTTAGGGCCCTGGTGGCATAGGCCCCCGAGGGAATCTCCTGGTCTGCAGGTTACAAAGACTGTGGGAAAAGCATAGTATCTGGGCCGGAGTACACCATTCGTCACGGCACAGTCCCTCACAGCTTCCATTGGCTACAGGAGGGCGTTCCCCAACCTGTTGTGCTTCCCAGCTGAGGCGATGCCCCACCCTGCTTCTGCTTGCCCTGTGTGGGCTGCACCCACTGTCTAACCTGTCCCAATGACATAAGCCAGGTACCTCAGTGGAAATGCAGAAATCACCCGCTTTCTGCATTGATCTGGCTGGGAGCTGCATACTGAAGCTCTTCCTATTCAGCCATCTTGCCAGCCACCCTGGAATATTGATGTTTTAAGCAGGGAGGAATTGTGACTCTGCCTTTCATGCAGGCCTGAATTGGAGGTGTTCCCCTGTGGGGCTGCACTCACCCTGCATTGTCCCCAAAATGCTGCCTATAGGTGCATACATGCTGTGTCCCAGTAGGGGAAGCCCCAGCTGTGTCTCAGTGGAGTATCAATGGAGAATAAAGACCCCTTCTCCAAGGCCCCTCATGATCACAGAGTATAGCATGCCTGCCTGTTGGGGTGGAGGTACAGTCTTTCCCTCCTGCACCCAGCACTGGATTGTTTTTCTGTTGGAAATATCCCACCGGTGGAAAGACCTGGGATTCAAGGCCTGCTGTTAAGGTACTTTTATCTCACTGGGTGATCCCTTGATGTGGTTTTATCCCCTTGCCCTAGAAATGGGGCTTCCTGAGAACCAGATTACGGTGATTATTATTGCTCTTTTCAATCTAGCCACCCATTGGTGCTACCAGGCTCCAGGGCAATGCTGAGGAATGTCTGCAAGGACTCTAGTGATGTGATCTGTCTTCAAGTCTCCCAGCAGTGGGTACCAGCACCTGCTCTGATGGATGTGGCAGGGGAGTGATGTAGACTCTATGAGATTCCTTGGTTGCAGATAGGCTTAGATTGCTAGCTTTCTTGAATGCCTAGCTTTCTTGAATGCCAATTATGCTATCAGTGAAGTTGTCATGTGGACAGACTCAGGACTTCTGGTTAGTCAGGGTGTTGCAAGCAGTAGTGTTAGCAGCCATTTTCTCCTCCCTGGGTGCAGTGTTATTCTACAGAGCTGTGCTGTGATGGCTTGTGTTGGTTGGCCTCTAGTGAGGAGGTGGCACTTGCAAGAGAGCACCAGCTGCTATAGTAGTAGTGGGCTTTGAGCTTGCCCTAAGTTTGCCAGAGGAAGTATTCTGGTTTCTCAGGTGATGGGCAAGGCCATAAAGTTCCCAAGAGTTTATATCCTTTGTGTTAAGCTACCAGGGTGGGTAGAGAAATACCATCAGGTGGGGGCAGGGTGAGGCTGGTCTGAAGGCAGACTCTCCTTAGGCGGGGCTTGCCAAGGCCACTGTGGGGGATGGGGCAGTGTTTCTCAGGCCGCTTGGGGTAATGCTCCAGAGGGGAGGGAGTATGACTACCTCTGCTGTGCGGTAGTCACAAGGGTAGTGGGAAATAGCTGGCAGCAATTCCCATGCAGTTGGTGAGGCCAGTCTTGTTCCCACAGTTCCCTGCCAACAGCAAGTGGTCTAGATCCAGGCAGCCTGCACACAGAAATCAGACCTGCCCCAGGCCATAAGCTTCCCCTCTGAGAAAGCGAGCATGGCTTTCAGGCCATGCCCCTCCCTGTCTTCCTGCAATGCTGGGCACCCCACTCCTGTGCTTGTATCTGCAGCACTTCCCATTCACCCACCAGATGCTGTTCAAGGGAGTCGGTGCCCACTCAAAATTATATCACAAATTTTAACCGGGACCTTCTTTCACCCTTTGACCCCTCCTTGAGTTTGCTGGCGGCCTTTCCTGAGGGCCCCTGTGAGACACAGTCAGGGATGACTTTCCTGGGTTCACATTGGAGACTGGGAATGCTTATCAGGCTCTTCCAGCTGCTGCTTCTGCTATTATATTTTATGCACTTCCTAAATCTGTTCCAGCTCTAGGTAGGATGAAGACCTTCTACCATGATCTGGGTTTTCAGATTCCCCAGTGGAGATGTGTGTTTGGAGGCAGGCTGTCTCCCTCTCATACTCCAGAAATCCACAGTTTTTTGCCTGTCTCACAGAGTGTGCTGCAGCCTGTGACTTTTTTCAAAGGATCTGTGAATTCTTTGGGTTTTTCTGGTAAGTTCCTGCAGTGGTTCTTGGAACAAAAGTTCGCAGTGTGAAACTTCACCCACTATTCGGTCCTTCCGATTCGGGGGAGAGGCACAGTAACACTGCCTCCTATTCTCCATCTTGGGGAAAAAACAAAACAAAACAAAAGAAAAAAAAACACTTCATAATATTTTTAATATAACTCTTTAGATCTGGAATGACTGTGCCAAAAACTAAATATTTTTATGGCCTTGAAATTTGTACTCATATTCATTATTCCCAACCTGTGAGAATGCCAGTATCACAACACTCTGCAGTGATTTGCTGCAATGTGGACTGTATATTTTCACTTTATTTCTAACATCAATAAAATATTTTCTTTAATTTTTTTCTTTTTTATTTGTATTTCCATGGAATTCTGAGATGGAACAGGTCATTAGTAACCTGTGCTCATGTTATTATTTAATGAATTTATGTATTTATTAGAGACAGTATATTTTCACTTTATTTCTAACATCAATAAAAATTTTTCTTTAATTTTTTTCTTTTTTATTTGTATTTCCATGGAATTCTGAGATGGAACAGGTCATTAGTAACCTGTGCTCATGTTATTAGTTAATGAATTTATGTATTTATTAGAGACAGTATATTTTCACTTTATTTCTAACATCAATAAAAATTTTTCTTTAATTTTTTTCTTTTTTATTTGTATTTCCATGGAATTCTGAGATGGAGCAGGTCATTAGTAACCTGTGCTCATGTTATTATTTAATGAATTTATGTATTTGAGAGAGCATCTTGCTTTGTCACTCAGGCTAAAGAGTAGTGGTGCCATCATAGTTCACTATAATCTTGAACTCTTGGGCTCAACAAAGCAATCAACCACAACCTCCTGAGTAGCTAGGACTGCAAACAGGTGGTACCATGCATATCCCCATGTTATTTTTTTACTTGCAATTCCAAAGCTCGTGATAAATACTAATGTTATTTTAGATTGCTTCTATGTGTTTCAATTGAAATAGAAAATTTTAGTTTTAACCAGACCCACATTTATCTATGTATGTCTGGAATAATAACTAAATTGTGCTTTTTGAAGTTCATTTTGTTTTGTTGGACATTTCAGAGTACTATTTTGTCTTTATAGATAACTTTTCTGTCCCATACGTGTTTTCTCAATTACCCTCTACTTGCTATAATTGGTTCCAAGAAATGGTAAATAAGACAGATATTGGTCCTACAAACATTCTAATAGTGGATATAGACTGCTAGGTAAATAAATATAGTGTTGATGGCAGCAGCAGCCCATCTGGAGTGGCCACTGCTATGACACTGGCTGCAGGGAGGGAGGCACAGCTGGGGCTGTGTGCTCCATGAAGCTGGTGGTAGCAGGGAACTGGTGGTAGCCCTGCCTGCTTCCTAGTTGAAGGGGTGAGAGCCCTGCCCCCCTGGGTGCAGCAGTAGCCGCCCAGCCACAGCTGCAGACCTGGGCATACCTGTATCTTGGGGCTCAGGAAGCCCCCTGTTCATCTGCAGGCTCAGAAGTGCCTGCTCCCACTGGATGGCCTCTGGCTGTTCTTGGCACCTGCTCCAATTTTGGAGCAAAGTTGTGGCTAAGCCTGGGAATCATCATTACCTGGCCAGGTATGTGCACACTCAGGGTGGCACTGACACACCAGCCCCCTACTGCCTCAGTTCCCTCCAAACTTTGGGCACCAATGAGCATGGGAGGGAGGTCAGGGGGCTCTGAGAGCAGCTCGATGTGGGCCTGCAGGTGCCCCCTTGGCTTGAACAGCCTGGGCACTATGGATGACATATAGGGATGGTAGGAGGCAGATAGGCTCCTGGGTAGAAAAGGGTGGGTCTCCAGTGAATCCCCACCTTCAAGCCAGGGACAGCCTTAAGCCTGGGGCCTGGGCTGCCAGTTCCACAGACTGGTGTGAGAACTTATGGTGCTTTGTCCAGGCCTGCACATGGACCAATCAGAATGCACTTTATTCTCTCTGAAGTCTACAAAACACCCAGTCTCAGCCAGACTCAGGCAGATGACAGTATGAGCTGCCTGTGGCTAGGGGCTACCCATTCTGGTCTCCTCTCCGATGAGGGTTGCAGAGACGTTGGGATGACCTGCCTGCAGGTAGGAGCTACCCACTCTTGGTCTCCTCTCTGTTGTTGGCAGCAGATTTGATGGATGATCTGCCTGCAGAAAGACATTGGGATGACCTGCCTGCAGGTAGGAGCTACCCACTGTGGGTTTCCTCTCCACTGAGTGCTGGGCACTCATCTGGATGACCTGCCTGTGGAAAGGAGCTACCCACTTCAGGTCTCCCAAAAACTGTTCTACCACTCAGTGTAGCTCCTCTCTACCTTGCTCATTCTCCTGTTGTCTGTGTACCTCATTCTTCCTGAATGCAGGACAAAAACTCGGGACACATTGAATGGTGGGACTAAAAGAGCTGTAACACAAACAGGACTGAAACACACCCCCACTCACCACGTTGTGGGAGACAATAGGAGGGAAGAGCTGCCACCCTTCAGGGAGCCCAGACCTAGGGGCTCCCTGAGCCAGAGCTGTAACATTCTATTTGGATCTCTGCGGTTCCTGGTGTCTCCAAGTTTCTCGGCAACACCGTGTTCCCCTCATCTAGACATGGATGCCCACAGTGGAAGCCGCGTATGGTACGTCTTGTCCAGTTACAGCCTCACATGGAACCAACACCTGTGCTGGTGCCTGGAGCTACCCACCCTGCCACAGCAGCTGCCATGCCTGGCTGTGTGCAGTGGCCAGACCCTATGCTCGCTTGACCCCACACTGCTCGCTGCTCTGTGGGCACCTGGCTCACCCTTGGCAGGTGTGGGCCACCAACACAAGCTAGTAGCATGAGCCGAGTGCAGCCTGCCAGGCCGAGTGGGTGGAATGAGCCCAGCAGGTGCGAGCAATACTCAAGCAGAAGGCGTCACCGACCACAGAAGTTTCTGGCTGGTGAAGCAACACCCTAAAGATCCCGTGACATTGTGAAAGCGCTTTCATGAGGAACGTACAGTTTTCTGTAGGGAGCACATTGGAAAATATTTCAAAAATCAAGAAGGGCAAACTTTTTCGTAGATTCCAAATTGATGTGTAAGGGATTGGAACTCTTCAGGTGAAAACACACATAATCTAAGAGGATTTGTGAAGGATATTTCAGAAAAGTTGGAAGTTTAGAGTCAAGGAAAATATTAACTTTTCTGAAAGTAGAGAAAGTTCACTATTACTAGAGATGTTGGCAGAAGGCAGTTAATGAAGGACCTTGCAGACCAAATTAAGACATTTAGAATTACACATGAAGGCATTAGAAGTCATTGATAAATTTTAGTTATGGATAAACATTTTATCAGGTTTTTTGTGTTAGCAATATAATTCAGTCTAGTGTATGGAGAATGGATTAGAGTATGGATAAATTTGGAGAAGGAAGCAAGGAGTTAGAAATAGTTGCAGTTATCCAAGTGAGAGATATATGGTGTATGAATTATTGGAATTTGAAGTCTAGATACAGATAAGTAATTAGAAATAAGGTGTATTAGGAGGTAGAATCCAGGGAATTGGTAATCAAGTGAGTATATGGAATATGGGAAAGGAAGGAGTCAGGGATAATGTGGAGGTTCCTTTCTTTGATTATTGGGTGGAAATTTGTTGTCATTCTTCCAGCAGGAAGAGTGCAGAACGTATTTGAAACTAAAGATGAAGCATTTGTTTTTGGACATGCGGAGTCTGAAGTGTCATTGTCAGAGTCAAATAAATACATTTAACATACATATGATATGTGGGTCATATTTCAACCTCGAATCAGTTCTATGTTGGCGATTCTGGTTTTGGAGACATCAATGACAAACATGTAGATGGCTCTTGAAACAATGATTAGTATGAGGTAGCCTAGGAAGCATGATTAGAGTGAAATAAAATGGGCTTAAGACAGAAACTTAAATAATACAATATTTAAAAGATAAATTAAATAATATACTGTGACAGAGTGGCTAGAAAGGAGGAAAATATTCTAAGAAAAGGAGGTAATTAATGGTGATGTCAGATAAAATAAGTACTGATGGTCCATGGGTTATCAGCAAGAATTGGTACCATGGAGAGAGTTATTTGGTGAAGCTGTGGGGACTATATCCAGATTGAAGTAAGTTGAGGATTGAATGGGCTGTGAAAAAGTGGAGTCAGTGAGTATATATAACCTTTTTTAGCAGGCTGATATTACAGAAGAAGAGAGAGACACAGGTCCGTATCTTAAAAAGAGTTAATCTTAAAAAGGAAGAAGAGGCGGGCATGGTGGCTCACGCCTGTAATCCCAGCACTTTGGGAGGCCGAGGCAGGCGGATCACGAGGTCAGGAGATCGAGACCATGGTGAAACACTGTCTCTACTACAAATACAAATTATTAGCTGGGTGCGGTGGCCGGCATCTGTATTCCCAGCTACTCTGGAGGCTGAGGCAAGAGAATGGTGTGAACTCCAGAGGCGGAGCTTGCAGTGAGCTGAGATCACACCACTGAACTGTAGCCTGGGTGACAGAGTGAGACTCCGTCTCAAAAAAAAAAAAAAAAAAAAGAAAAAAGAAAAAAAATGAAAAAGAACACTGTTTTCATTATAAATGAGGAGAAAGAGGTAAGAGTAGGCAGAAATGCAGAGTAACACGTGAGTTTGTGACATAAATTGAAAGGTCTATTTTATGAATTACCTATACTCCATTAATTACATATTGAGGTCATTTGCTGAGAGAGAATGGAAGGAGGAGAGGGGACAACATTTGAAAAAGAAGCCGAGAATTAGAGTGAGCACTATAGTTACTGCCTTTGCAGACTCATTTAAATTTTAAATTGGATTCTATTAAGCCTATTCCATAGGTGCAGTTTCCTTCTCACCACCATCACTGTTCTCAGGTTCCATTGCTCCCTATTTTGCTGATGGTGGACAGCAAATCTATGTGAGTCCTAGATTCCTGATGAGAATGTAATGTTGGGGTGGGACATAGGCACAGTCTGGAGGAAGAGAGGCGTATTACTCCAGCTCAGAGGTGGATTTACCATAAAGTTAATGGAACTTACTTGCCTTGTTGGGGATGCTCCCTAGCATGAGCCCCTTAAGATTGCTCAGAGAGGCCCTAGTGATATCTTTACATACTCCTTTTCTTTCTTTTTTTTTTTAAGTGGACAATATTGTATATATGCAAGAACTCACAAAAACAGATTCATCCCTGTTCCTACCAGCTGTTGAACTGGACATGTGCTGATTGCATTCAACTGGTGGTCCAGGATGATAACTGAGCACTAATTTGTCTTCTGGTGGTTCCATGATGGGGACAATGAATGGTGGTTTTCCTAGTAAAGGCTTATCACTTTTAAACTTTCATGCTTTTCTTATTTCCTTGATTAGTAATCCCTGTTTGACCAGTCCATGATGGCTTTCATTTTGGCTTTTCTCTAGGGACAATAAAACTAATAATGGTTGTTTTTCTCTAAAACTTCATTTTCAACCTAAGTCTTTATACTTATTATGTATCCTCCACCTTTTGATTTTTATTTAATATCGATCCTCTCCTCCATAAAGCAGTGGATAACATTTCTAGTAACCCAAGGTTGAGAAAGATTCTCATAGAACAAGCTATGAAATTTGAGATAGTATCTTCCCAGATCCTTAATGATTCTCAGGGAATTGGGAAAGCTTTCTCTAGTAGGATTGAATCACATGTGTTATATTCCTTTGAATAAATTACCTACTTGCCTCAGAAATACTAATCATTAAAATTATATGGCTGATCTGAACTGCTTCTGCATGTAAAAGTTCTCAGTAGTTTGGAAATATTTTCTTTTGATTTAGTAGTAGTTAGAATTTGTTTTGACCCATGTTATTCAAGTTTAATTTTTTTTCTTTTAGCAGCAACAGAGGTTGTGGAAAAAAATCTCCTTTTCATTTTGCCTGTTTGTTTGGGGCAATAATACTGTTTTACATTACTGGAGGTATTTTATCCTCTTGAGGATTTTATTGTATTTAATATTTACAGATATGGTTTTGACAAGTGCTTATAAAAATATCCCAGATACTTGTGGCACAAAAGACATTTATTCCACAGTTTATTTCCTAGTGGCTATTTTCATAGCCATGATATGGCATTAAATCCACGATTAGAGAAAGAAAGAGCAGAGACGGAGAATTAGCAATGAAAAATGGATGAAGAGATCAATATGTTTCCGGCAGCTTTGTGTTATTAAAATAAAAAGGCAAATTATTTGGATAAAAATGGATACTCAATTGATTACACAGTTTAATTATAATATTTAACAACAATGTCTGATATTATACAATTTAAATAACATTAAGGAACACTGGATTCCTTTTTCATTATGGTCAACTATACTAAGTAAGATTATAAGTGACTTAAATAAAGTGCAATACAAAGAAATATTTTGATGAAAACATTTGTCCCAGCAAATGAGCCAAAATAAGACCCAAACAAAAGTAAACTAGTTATCTTTTATTTCCTTTCCATCTTTATTATTACCATTTGTCATTTAAAATGAGTTTTCCTTCATGCAGATTGTCTCTCAGTTGAAATTTAATATGTAAATCTTAGCAGTTCATTTGGTTCCTAAAAACTTGGGGTGTACTGGTACAACATATGCACATTGTGCTTCTGCAAGGAAGATAATTCAATCATACGCTAGCCCCCTCCCCAGAGGAATAGCAATTTATGAAGGGCAAGCTATGAAGAACACTTGTTTTACTTATTCTCCTGCCTGTGTGTGCCTCCTGGTTAAAATGGGTTAGCAGACAGCGTGCATGGTTTAACTTAGAGTCAGAGAAAGCAATTATATTACATGATATTTGTAAGGATAACTTATAGATAAGGAGTAGGGAGCAGGGGTCAGAATGGTAGCCAGTGGGAAACGTGCCACTGATGTTCAGGGAAAGAAAAAGAAGAACAAGGAATAGTCCCAAAGCTAAGGTAGAAAACAGAAATTTAAATAGACCCCAGGATAAATACTAGATGAGACAGAAACCCAACTTAGGGCCAGACTCTATTTACTTCAACAAGGGAAGCAGCTGGAGGGTAAGCAGCTGTATAATTCAACATATATAACTTGGGTTAATACCAGTGGGTGAAGAAAAGTTTGGGGCAATTGAAAGAGTAGGATAAGCAGAGTTGTGACTTAGATAAAAAACAATTTACAGAGAAAAAGCATTAGGGAAAAGTAGGCATAGTAAGCATATTTTAACTGATCAGGAGGGTCCTTCGAAATGTAAATGAAAGTATAAATGTAGTTATAATTTACTATATAAAGCAATTATAGTGGGTGCTTTCGATGCCCTGTCCATATCCAATTTACTAGGTGGTATACACCTACCTTCTAGTTGGGAGGGGCTATGTTAACAGCTTATACCCGGGATGGATGTTACATTTCCCGTCCATTGCACTTATGGCTTAATAAGGGGGCTCTGTGGTCTATTTGCTTTGCTTAAGAGGGATGACTCTGCAATGTGATTTATGCTCCAGAGCATGCTCATGAATCAGATCAAGGATAGAATCTATGTGAGACTACACTCTTGCCCAGCTCCTTCCTCTTTCCTATTTGGCTGCCCACATTCGCAGGTTTTCCTGATGAGAGCTCCCTCAATCTTATCCACCTGAAACCCTGACACTAGCTTTGCTTCTGCAGTGCCTGACCTTGAATAGTTGGTACTAGTCAATCTACTATATTCATGTCAGTAACAAAATGTCCCAATTCCATTTATTATCTTGCTAGATGTTGTGGTACAGGAAGGTGTACGAGGAGGCAATTAGAACAGCTATTGAGCTATATCTCTTGACTTTTGAAGAACAGTTTTGCCAGGCATAGTATTCTTGGTTGTCAGTTCTCCCCCGCCTCCCCTCAGCACTTTGAAAATATCTTCCCACTTTTCTATGCTGCAAAGTTTCTATTGAAAATTCTGCTTATATTCTTATAGTGGTTCTCAGATAAGTGACAAGTTGTACAATCAGCATCAGTATAAAAGTAAGTAGCCGGGTGTGGTCACTCATGTCTGTAATCCTGGCACTTTGGGAGACTGAGGCCGGCAGATCACGAGGTCTGGAGTTTGAGGCCAGCCTGATCAGCGTGATGAAACCCCATCTCTACTAAAAATACAAAAATTAGCCAGGTGTGGTGGCACATGCCTGTAATCCCAGCCACTCAGGAGGCTGAGGCAGGAGAATCCCTTGAACCTGGGTGGTGGAGGTTGCAGTGAGCTGAGATCACGCCACTGCACTCCAGCCTGGGCCACAGGGCAAGACTCTTTCTCAAAAAAAAAAAAAAGAAAAGAAAAAAAAAGTAAAAGTAAGTAAATTAATAGATCTAAATCTACAGACTATGTTCTAGATATCATTTGAGTATGTGGTAGATATAATAAATAGTTGGTTTCAATTGTTTATTTCACATTCTTGCCTTAGACACATGGTAGGCAGAATAACTTTCTGTCCTTGCCTAGGCCTTCACTATACTATTTGATTTTGGTCAACTAGATGTTACAGCACTCAATGCAAGTGGAGGCTTGAAATGTACATACCTGTTTGGGCTTCCTCATTGGGCTTTTGATATCACCATCAGAATAGCATACCTCAGCAGTCACTGTCCCTTTAACCTAAGCCCCACATGAAACACATGAAAAATACTTGAACTTGAGCTGTAGCCCAAAGCTATGCTGACTAAATCCAGCCAAGCCCAGCCAAGATCAGCCAAATACCATCTGACACTCTGGTTCTGAGTGATGAAAGTAAATATTTGTTGTTGTAAGCCACTAAACATTTGAGAGTGTTTGTTATGTAATTAATTATTGTAGACAAAGATAATGTATAGCTTAAGTATTGAATTTTTTTCTAAAAAGGTAAATGTTTAATATATAGAAAAGATTCATAACTGGTGCAAACTTTGCACCCAAAAGGACATTGTATAATGCCTGCAATTTTTGGTAGTCACAAATCAGAAGGAACTATTGGCATGTAGTCCAATATGTCAATAGTGCCTAGGGTGATCACCCATGAATTAAAAGTTTACATTAGATATTGAAATGAGTCAAATGATTTGTTTAAAAACAAGAAAATGGCCAGGGACAGTAGTTCACACCTGTAATTCCAGCACTTTGGGAGGTCAGCCTCTCAAAATGGTCGAATTATGGGCGTGAGCCACTGTGCCTGGCCATTTTGTAGGCCCTCTCAACAAGAGACCTCACCTCTACACACACACACACACACACACACACACACACACACAATAGCTGGGTGCTACCAAACAGCTAATGTGTGTATGTGCCTGGCTGCAGCGAGCTGTGATCTCGTGACTGCATTCCAGCCTGGGCACCAGAATGGGACCCCATCTCCAAAAAATAAAACAAAATACCAAAAACCCCAAGAAAATGTTTAGTTTTTACATCTATGGACTTGAATATATGGCCACATGTTCACCAAAAACTTCGGCAATGTACCCACAAAACTGTCATATATCAAGCCTCCTTCTCCATTCTCATGGCTTCTTTTTGACTTCATATTTTGTTCTTCCAATTAGAGTATGGTATCTTGGGATGTTTTCCTGGTTTCAGTATTGCTCATGATTCCAATCTAACTTTGACAGTGCTAGCAACATAATCTTTTATAAGGTTTAGTTTTAGTCATGTCACACAGAGAATTCACATGGATAAGTTTTATAATTTTTCAAATCTTTTATATTTTGACTGATTCTAAAATTTCTCCTTCAACAAACTCAGACCCACTGTCTGAAACACATACTATATTTGATTGCATATACTATTTTTATTTTGTTGAATATTTACTCATTTATTCTCACTTTTAATCCATTTTAAAATACTTGTTCAAGTTTAAACATATATGCAAAGCAATTTCTTTTATTCAAAGACAAGGCTTTAAAACATATACATCTATATGATATATGCATATGAGAGAGAGAGAGAGAGAGAGAGACAGTGTGTGTGTGTGTGTGTGTGTGTGGTGTATGTATGTATGTATTTGGGTATTTGACTTAGTCCTAGGACTACATCTAAGTTCCTTCTCTATTACCCTGACACTTCCCACTTATTATCTGTTTCTCTCTGAATTTGGTACACATGAGAAAGAAAAACCAGATAGTTAAACATGTTAAAAAATCACATTATTTTGGATAATAGAAGAAATCTATGGATGCAGTGTATTGATGTATATATAAAGTTTAAATAAAGTACTTTAAACAGTCAAATTTTGAAATGATAAGTATAATTACCTAAGCTTTTCATTGGTTTATTTTTTAAAAAATACATAAACCAAGTAAAATCACATTGTACTGACATGAAGAGAAACTTTAAGGCTGCATTTTGAGTCAAATTTATTCTATTGTAGCACTTATTATAAGTATATTCATCTATTAACATCTTTTTTCCTCTGGTGTGTGATAAGCTGTTGAGCACCCACTGTGTATGTTTGTGTATCTGTGTGTTTGTGTATGTGTTTATTCTCAATATTTACCTCTACAATATATGAAAAAACCTGGAGAACTGCTGTTGCATAAGCATGTTTTTGTTGATAAATGAATAAATGTATCTTATAGCTATAAATCTAGATACCTTGTTTTTCCAAAATACCTTTTTCCATAAAAGATTGTAAGAAATCAGTATATTTAAATAACAAATAAAATTATTCAACATAATTGTATTAATCATTGACTTAGGAACATTAAGGTCAAATTCACATTTATTTATTTGTTATAATGTCTGATATAATGTTTGAAATTATTCCATATGTCCTTCTTAAGCATTTGCTGCTGGGGTTCATGGAGTTTCTTTGTTAGTTACAATCTCACCACCAATTCTTTTTAAGCATGAGGTCTTTGTTAATTATTTTTGGTTAAGCATAATAATGAACAAATATTATTTATCATGGGTTTATCTTTGTTGTAAAGTGCAAATCAAGCCATGCTTTTAACTAGAGAATTTTGCAAATACATTATCAATAGAGTTCTTTTGGATAAAAACTTCTGCCTAGTATCTAAATTAACACCGTTATTATTGGGATTCTATAATTTCTCAGCTCTATCAGAGTCAGGGAAAATATCAATAAATTCAAGTTAACTGTGAAATATTTTTAAATAAATATCTGTAGGTAATATTATTTGAACTGATCACATATCTGACACTATGGGAAAGTTTAATGCATTAATCAAAGTTGCTTTTATACTAATAGAAGCAAAATGTTCTTTAATTTGAATAGTTTGACTGAAATTAATTGAAAGCAATGGAATATATTCTCATACACAAACAGGATAATGCAATTAATATGACCACAAGATCAAAGGTAGCATGTGAAATGCTAAAACCTAAATATTTTACTCTGTGTTTGAGTCCCATAATTATTGCTGTCTTGGATACTTTTTGTTTTGTGAATTAGAATTAAATTCTTAGTCTCTAATGTGTGTATCATCCTACTTTAATTTTTATTAAATATCAAAATACTATAGAAATATTCTGCTGTTTTAGGATAAACAGTTCATCCTGAGAAGCACATATTTTTATTTCTGCAATATCCAGATCTTATAGCAAGCAGAGAGATTTTTCCATGTTACTAAAGTATTCAGTTAAACAGTTTTTTTAAAGCTCTTTTCACATAAAATAAACTTCTGACCTTATGTATATCTTATGTAATTAGTTTGAATATATGATTTTTGTGACATGATTTTCATTTTTCTTTTTAATTTTTTTTTTTTTTTTTTTTTTTTTTTGAGACGGAGTCTCGCTCTGTCGCCCAGGCCGGACTGCGGACTGCAGTGGCGCAATCTCGGCTCACTGCAAGCTCCGCTTCCCGGGTTCACGCCATTCTCCTGCCTCAGCCTCCCCAGTAGCTGGGACTACAGGCGCCCGCCACCGCGCCCGGCTAATTTTTTGTATTTCATTTTTCTTAAAACTATGACTATCTTCTGGGTTAATATGAGGATGTTTATCTATTGACTTATCTTCTCCAGGTACTGCTAATACCCAAACAAGAAATGAATGAGGGCATTCAACTTTATGATAATTCATAGAAGAATCAAGAGTTTTGCAAGTCTGAGAAAATTTTATAGTTTAAAAGGAAATTTTGATGGCAAATAAGATACAGGGACAAACCACAGTATATAGACTATAAAAATGTTGTGAAGTAAAAATTAAACTGCTAAGTTGGTGTTCAAATTCCCTGTTAGTGTAACATTGCAATATAACTTAATGCCTGTTTTATCATTCAAGATATCATTATAACAATTTCTTTTCAATTCAGATCAACTGAATTAAATATATTTTCAATTTTACTATAGAATTTGGTGGCAAACAAAATTTGAAATAAAATTAACTTGTTTAGGATGTATGCATTCTATGTATGTTCACCGTTATGTTTTTCTACATAAATATATACAAGAAAATTGTATTTAAAAAGATGTTTTTGGCACTGTATAGCACCCTAGTGCTTTCTAACCACACTAGTCTGAGCTATCAGAAGAGTCTAAGAATTACAGGACTAAATTTTTTCCTTTCAGGAGGGGATTCTTAATATAAGAGATACATTTACAAAATTGCTTCCATTACCTACAAACACCATAAAGAAAAGTAACAGTGATGCATATGGACAGAACTGCATCACCAGAAGTTAGAGGAGGAAAGCATTTCCTATCCAACTTTAAATGCTGAGAATGAATAACCAGGAAAAATGGTACAGAGGACAAAATACCAACAAAAGTCTCCAAAAGTGATGTGAAGAAAATAAGGGGCTCATCATTCTAAATTCTGCAGGAGAGCAGTAGAAGAAATCAAGGGAATCCCACATTATGTGGTAACTTTTACAATTGTATGCTTCTTTACACATTTTATTAATTGAATGACAATTTTTTATTTACTGTGGAGCACCAGAAAATTCTGACACACAGTGAAGTATTCTGCTTCTCAAAATAGTGAAGGGTCCTTCCCTTAAAAATAAATAGAAATAAAAATAAATATTATTGCTAGGCTGGTAAATCCACAAACCAAAGTTTAAGACAAATTATTATTATTCTGAATCAGTGATTCTTTTATTTAAAGTCATAAATTACTAAGTAAATTACAGTTTCTGATCTGAGAAAGTGGCTGCTAGACATATATTTCTTGATAATGTGACCTAAACAACAGCGTGACGACATGAGCTTGTGCATAGAGCCAGAAAGGGTTTAAATAACTAGCACATGTTTGGTGAACAACTATACCTGTGGTGACATTTGTAAGTATAATATCGTCAACCTAAGCGGCTTCCAGCTTGGTAATAAACATGTCTAGATACAACTGAACAATAGTATACAACTTATACTGTATGTTTAATTCCTAAACACTTTAGTCTTTGCGTATTTTTTTCACTTCACAACCTCATATTTTAATAAAATGAGTTTTTGAGTTTTGGGGAATAAATGTATGTTCTAATTAAGAAAAAATTTTAAAAGTAATAATGGATTTAAGAATATTTCAGCCAGAATACTGTTACCTACAATGTTAATTTTAGAGGAAAGGCAGCATATGATGTGGAGGAAAAATCTCCGTGTATAAATTTGATTCCAAAATTACAGTTAAGGTATTATTTTACTTTCACCTTTTTTTAAACCACTGATGGATGAATTATGGCCCATGGGTCAAAACCAGCTCACTGCTGGTTTTTATACATAAACTCTTATTGGAAAACAGCCATGTTCATTCATTTACCTATGGTCTGTCGCTGCTTTCACACTTCAGTGGCAGAGCCAAGTAGTTGTGGCAGAGACCATATGTCCCACTAAACTGAAAATTACTGTCTGGCCCTTTAGAGGAAAAGTTTGCTGATCCCTGCCCCAAACCATCAAAAACCAAGCATCAGTTCTTTGCTACATCTTTTTCATAGTAGCAATTTATAATTACCTTCAAATATTAAACTTCAGAAAATTAATTGTGTTGTTTTGAATGTTAAGAAGTTATTTGAGGTGTTGATTTTTCTACTTATTCTACCAGGTTGTCATACCAATATCAACATTGAGAAAATAAAAACGTTCCAAGAGAAAAATCAATACGCCTATAATCCCAGCACTTTGGGGAGCCAAGGCGGACGGATCACCTGAGGTCCGAAGTTTGAGAACAGCCTGGCCAACATGGTGAAATCCTGTCTCTATTGAAAATACAAAATTAGCCGGGTGTGGTGTTGCACGCCTGTAATCCCAGCTACTCGGGCGGCTGAGGCAGGAGAATCACTTGAATCCGGGAGGCGGAGGTTGCAGTGAGCCAAGATCGCGCCACTGCACTCCAGCCTGGGCCACAGACCGAGACTCCATCTCAAAGATAAAAATTAAAATTAAAATTAAAATTAAAATAAATAATGTTTAGAACAGGATCGAGGAGCTACATAGGGTTATGGGTACAATCTGTAGTCCTGCAGTAACATAATTACTTCATAGTTACTAAAACCTAAGATTTTAACATCATCAATATTACTGAATACTGAAGGGTGCTGATTAGTCCAATTTTGCTGGTAAAGCAAAAATGCAATACAAAGTCACCTGCTTATGATCAGTTGTGTCATAGCATCATCTAGATGAAAATGAACTCTTGTAGCTTCTTTGAGCTATTAGGTCTTACAAGCAAATACTTTAATGAGGGCTGTTTTTTTTTTTTTTTTTTTTCCAAGCAATGTTTTTTACTGATGACTAATATCTTTTTTTTTTTTCCTTTGAAATCTTTCCTGGATGTATTACATTGCATTAGGAGCCATGCCTTTCTGCATGTACTACTTATAGCTAACCCACCCTAGTACATCTTCTGACACTAGTTGTGTCAGAACACAACTAGCTGCTAGTTGTGTTTTCACGGTTTCTTTTTACGTTTGCTTCAGTCTTCTAGGTCAGAGTGATTTACGCATAGTGTTGTTTCTCCTGTTGCTCCTGCTATCCTCTTCTGCTTTAATGGCATGCTTATGAGGATGGATGCTGTTATTAGTCTCACTTGCTTACCTAGTATGGAGCCATTATAATCTCAATGGAAGAAGGGGGGCAGAATGATTCAATTATTATGGCTTTAGTGGATGAAGCTCATGCATCCTGTTTCTTTATCACTTTTTATTTTTAACACTTGACTTTCTTTTTGCCAGACTCTGAAAAAATTAATGAAACTTACTTTTTGCAATTCCCAATGATTTTTGAGGTATGTAGCTCTCACACAAGTATACTTACCATAAGAATAATAGAATTTCTATCTTTAGGTCAGCATCCTAACTAGATTTCCTAACCTTATTTCCATGACTACTTAAATAAGTCAAATCTGAAAGTCTATTTTTTTATTTTAGTAATCAAGACACTGAAAAATATGTAGCTCTTCATTGTGATAAAAATATTTTTATAATGGAGATTTTTGGACCTCTTTTGAAAAAATATATTTTCATTAAAAAATTTGTCTATTGCTTTTTAACAAAAAATGTAGATGTATATCACTTTGATCTTTTCATTACCTTGAGAAAACTGTCTTGAAACAGTGTGAGTAAGCAGACATTTCTGAAAGTATTTATAAATTTGAGTTCCTTCTCCAGTTTTGAAACAGTTCCAGATTCAACTGCAAGTGAAGTTTCTATCTTACATTTTCAGCTTGTCAAGAAATTAACATGTTTTACTGCTATCACACAGGACTCTGGGCCAGAGATTTTTTTCAATTTTAATCTCACTATCATTTTTCCATTTGCAAAGATGTGAGAGCCGTGAATATACTCCTTCAACAATCAAACTGTCAGTGCATTTGTCTGCTGATGAGTTTAGACTACCATTGACAAGTTCATACCACCTTTTCTGTATGTGAGTCAGCTTAGTGACATAAAATTATTGCAGTTATTCGATTGCCACAAGAAGGTGTGCATTTCTTCCTCTTGCCACAGTGACCCTATATTAATACATGGAAGCTCACTTAGTGATTTAATTTCAAAGGACTGAAGACAGTCTCTGTACAATCTTCAAGTAACCATGGTCCTTCGTTTTGCTGTGGAAAGGCTCCTGGCAGCAAAGGCTAAGTTGTTTTGCATGAATATTGAATTTCTGCTTATAAAAAATTTTACTCGCTGTTCCTTGTAGTAATTCAATACAAGTTGACTTTGTATTGATAGAATTCTTAGTGGCTCTTCATGGGGATAGACTAATAATGAAATGAGTGGTCACAAATAAAACTATAAGCATTTTTAACAGATACTATAATAATTTCTTTGACAACTAACTCAAGAATCCAAACTTTTCAAATGTTAATTTACCGGATAATATTGTGACATTAGGTATCAGGGATTTCACAGACAGTCATTAACCTGTGTGTTTCAGAAGTCAATCAACCTCCTTGTTGACTATAAACAAAGTTAAACTAATCAATAGTCTTTAATGGTCCCAGTTCCTCTGTAGATTACCCAGGTGATGTTTTCCAAGGGAATGGCTGAACAAAAGGAAGTCTTTTTAAGAGGTTTATTTTGATTTACAACCTTATATAGCTCTGGTCAGTGAAAAACATTTGTTGAATACAGATACAGCAGTATTACTTCATAAGCCCTTGTAAGAGAAAGCACTCAAGTATTATTTATTATTGTTCCTACTACTGCTACTAGTATATTATTACCAGAAATGGATCACTTGGAAGAGGATTTATATTAAAGAAATACCAAATACATACTCTGAGTAAATTCTAAAGGTAAGAGAACAATTTTACCTTATGTCTTGGCAGACAGGTGTCCTTGTAGATGTTTCAGGACAAGGAAAGGAGGTGTATCTAAAAAAGATCCATGCTTTTAAATGTACATATTATGTAAAGCATAACCATCTTAATATGTTCTTATTATTTTAATTTAAACTATAAGGCATAATGATAACCACAATGTCTGTCTGCATAAGATTTAGGACATAGTCATAATGCAAATTGGGAGATGGTTTCTGGTGTTCTTCTGCCCATTTTTGTTATTCTTTCCTGAATCTTATCATGTCCACATCCAGCAACCAGTCCCTTAGAAAAAGTACCTAATGAAGCAACTCAGAAGACTCAGAATAATAAATATGTAGGAGTACCTGTTCTTTCAGGGACAAGGAACTTTTGATCAGGCTATGTGCTTTAGAGCCTTCAATCATATCATGTAAGTTACTGCCTAATGTGTACTCTTAAAGGCCAACTCAACTCAATTATTTTCAATTTTTTTGTGTTACTGAGTTCTGGAGGCTGTTCATATGTATTTTTCAGATTAAAATTACAACTAAATGTTTAACCTTTGTTTCTACTTCTTATATGTAAATTAGATTTTACAATTTAATTTTCAAACTTGATGCTTTTTTGCATCCTGCTTCTATTTGTGAAAATCTGTAGCAATACAGATTTAGGGGATTTTTGTACTGACTGTTTTAAAACTATAAAAATTTTATTCTAAAAAGAGCTAATTTTTCTTTTGAGATTGCATATACTTCAATAGCCTAAAGGGATATTTGTATCATAAGCACAGTACTCAATAACTAAGGTTATAGTTTCACAATTATCCCCAGGAGATGATCTGGGGGAGAGATAGAAGAAAGTCAAAGAAACATAGCAAACCCCAAAAGATATCTAGATGTTTTCTAGTTCATCGTCCAACTAAGATGTTAAATAATTCAGATCACTATTAAGAAAACATTGAACTATATGTTTACCACAGTCAGATACTGGATGTGGTGAACTCAATTTGTTGACAGGAAGGGGGTATGATATTCTACTCTGGTGCTATAGATAATCAGGTGTCTAGGATTCTCTTCATTTCTTGTTAAATCAATGGAATGATGTGTGTGACTCATTAAGTGATATATTCCACATAAGACTATAATTATTTCCTTTACCTACGTATTTCTTCTTTGTACTTGAATCTAAATGGTAGAAGCAGCAGGAATTTAAGGAAACTGTAGTCAAGAATGTGCTTTGAGAGAAATCAATGGACTGCTTTGACTGGTCAGGTCAATCAAAACAACTTGTGCATACTGAAACATCCTAAAATAATTGTATAGAGTCTGGTGGTGTGGGGAGCATGATTGCTAAAACATGCTCTAACTGTTATTAATTTTGGATTTTTTAAAAGAAAAAAAATAAAGAGATTTGGCTATGGGTTTCATCCTTCATCAAGAGTTAAGATACAGTGTTTTAGCCAGTAATTGAATGTATGAGTCATTTGACCTTTCATAATTCACTATATTGCTATTCAGTTTGCAATCAGACTATGAAGCTCTTTATAGTTAATTTTGTTTTTCCTCATTTTAATAGCTGTATTTCTTTATATCCCATGTAATTCAATGGAAGTCTTATCAGTGGGAGATATCAATTAATTCATTGCTAGCTAATTTTCATTCAATTCAGAAATATTGATAGTTCAACTTAGATCTGATGAACTTCCACTGTGAAAATTAGATATCCATACAATCATGTGCATTGCATCAAATTCAAGTTTATTGTGCTTAGATGCTTAGATTCTTGCAATGCTCTTGATTTCCCTTTCCATAACTAACAACTGTTTGATTTCTGAATTACTAGACATATTCTGAAAATTAATTTCTTTTCTAGAAGAATTAGGCAGCTGACTTTTTGAGCTCCAATGCTGCTTCTAGGAACAAGCACAAAATTAAACTTGATTTATACGTTATGCATATCTTAAAGAAAACATATTTCTAAGTGTTTGTAAATCTTGAATGCTTCATTCATGATGGTTCAATTTATTATTACTAATAAGGAGGTGATAACGTGGCATGTGGTATTCATCCAGAACAGGGGTGACATTATTCAGCACTTTCAAAGACTGCTTTGCTTGCTGCAGGACTAGCAGTCAATGTGGTAAATGAGATGTATACCAACCACTGATTTTTCTGATTCCATCCCCTTAAAAACCCAGAATGTATTTGAAGACAGAGCAAGGTATTTTCTACTGTTAAATCAGGCATAGGCAAATCGGTAGTTTGTTGAACAAATAGAAACGGCACTCCTGAAGAGCTTGGAAGATTGTTATTAGATTCTCTCTGTTGAGGATTCTAATTCATACCACTTGAAATACTAAGTAGGCTGCATCCAAAATAAACTAAAATCATGTGGATCAGAAGCTAATTGCTAGCAAGCTGTTTAACCAAAACTGAATTTAACAAGCTGTCTTCATTATTTGGATATTAACTGACAAAATACCCAAATTATTGATAAATATAGGGATTCTCAGAATGTAAGACCATGCTATGTCTTCACCAGTTCATTACATTTTACTTCTGGGAAAACAGAGAGACCATGTTTCCAACCTTTGCATTTAGGAAGAGCCATATGACAAATTTTATCTGACAGAATGTGGGCAGAAATGATCTTAATTTTATCTTTCATTGCTTATCAGATGGCTGAAGGCAAAGAATCCAGTGAAGGACTTTGAGGTCCTTGGATGAAGCCCTTGGTGCCTGATCCCTGAATATAAAAGGCTGCCTGATAAAACCTGATTGGATGAATGTAGATAAAAAATAAACTTTTACTGTGCTATATAAATGAGATTTTAGGGATACCTGTTATAGCAGGTAGCTTCCTCTGAGTAATACATGCATGATAAAAAAACATGTGAAATATAATGGCTATAGTACTGGTATATATGCTTTAATAATATTTGATTCCTTAGTCAAACCATACATTTCTCTCTTTCGTATTTAGATAACAAGCATTAAAGCAGAGAGTTTACAAATTTAAGCCAGTCTCATCTCTTATGCTATTGTCAGGATTTCAAACCTGAGTTATTAGAAATAAAAGGGAATACAAAAGAAATGTTTTTATTCTTCCACTTCCAATTAACCTATCCTGTTATGTAAAAAAAGCAAAAACAATAAAGGACATAAATTTCAACTTTTACAAATGTCTGAACTATAGGTATTTTTTTATTATACTTAATATTATTCTTCAGTGACTGAATGTTTAAGAATGTATAAAGATGTAAAACTGAACATATAAGAACAAATTAAATAATAAAATAAATGAGTTGTTTTTAAATGCCAAGGTGTTATGTAGCTTGTAAAATGTTGCCTCTTTGTTCATATACGTAGTTGTCGTTTCTTGCAAGATAAAATAAATAAATAAATAAAAAGGACCCTAATTGTGTATCATCCCAATAGTATGAACAATGAGGTAGTTCAGTATAATTCATGTAGCACAGAACCACAAAATATGTGTCTTCCAATATGTCATGCCTTATAATTCGTCTGAAGTTAATAAAGAGGTTTAATTTGTCAAAAAAGTCCTCTAAATGCACTTTCATACAATAATGTCCTAATGTTTTATACTTATGTAGACTGAAAATTCCTGAGCAACTGAAACTTTAGGTTTCTATTTTCTGTAACCACAGTAATTCATGAGATGTAAACATAATTCCTCTTGTTTTTTATATAAAACTTAAAGTTGGATGTTGTTTTAGGCTTGAACATTTAGAGCTCAACTTGCTCAATACTTTACTCACTGTCTGATTTTGGTTCCTGGAGTTTCACATTCAGGCCACAGAACTATAATTAGAAAGGGACAATTGGTACTCTGCCCCAGTTCACCCAAATTTAGAGGGTACAACATGAAAATAATAATTGTAAAGACTTAGCACCTACTTAACAAGAATGATTAGCTAAAAAAGGAAGTTACCAGATGGCACACATGGTTAATAACATCCATCTGTGAGCCTCAGCATGAAGAAAATGAGTTTATTTGAGGGCACATTTAGTGCCGTTTACACCAAATAAAAGATTATTACACCTTTGTTAGGGCAGGTTCCCGTTAAGTGCTTCTTTCTCAAGCCTGACCCCGGCAGAATATGTGCTTTTGTTCTTGGAGGAGAGAGGAACAAAATAGTCTTAAGATTTGTGGGAGCACAGAAACCATCTTTTCACAACTCCTGTTTGCCTTGCCCTGTCTCCTTCCTCATGAGACTAGCAAATTAAGATAAATAGTTTTCACTAAACTACCTTTTACCAGGAGCAGTACAGCTGGATACACTGAAAGATGAACAATAGAGATATATTGAAATAAATCCAGGTTGTAATATTCTAGCATTCAGATGAGATAGTCTGGATTCTAAAATACATAAACTGTTAGTATACCAGTGGGGTTAAATACTTGAGATGTACAGCTAGACTACCCAGGTTCGAATCTCATTTCCATTTCTTACCATTTTTGTGACTTAGATAAGCAACTTAAATTCCCTATAGCTAAGTTACTCCATCTGGAAAGTGAGGATGATAAAAACAATAAAACCTGTCTATGAGGGTAGTTGGGAAGTGGAAATGTGTTATTTTTAAAGGCTTTAGAACAGACTCTTGAACATAATAAGCATCATATGGGCTTGACTGATTGAATAATGACAATTTTAAAACATCTTATTTAAATAGAATAATTGGCTTGTGTGAACATTGTAATGTTTTTTACACAGTTTGAAAGGAATTAATGCTAGCTTTCCATTGCATTTTATAATCCAATCTAATGCCTAACCATGTAACTAATCTAGTACAAACTGTCAGGAAAATATAATTTGGGCAATTATCCAAGTGGAGCAAGATAGAGCCTATGTGATACATAAGCACATGTATAATCCTTAATAGAGACATATGTCTATTTTTGTCCTGCTGAGGCTATCAGCTATATTCCCTGTGACTTAACCCATTTGATTTTTTCTTACAACGAAATCCACCAGAAGCGAAGAAAGGTGAAGCGTACTTAGGTGAATTGCCAGAGGTCTCATTCAGGTTTCCAGAATATCATGAACTTTGATAAATCTAGAAATATCATCCTTGCCTTGTTTGTAGCTAAAGAGTATCACCAACTGCAAGTTAGTGGGTGCAGTGCACCAGTGTGGCACATGTATACATATGTAACTAACCTGCACAATGTGCACATGTACCCTACAACTTAAAGTATAATAATAAAATAAAAAAAATAAAAAAAAAGTATCACCAATACCATAACAAACCTGGAGGCTGAATGTCCATGAATGTGGGTAATTTTTTAAATGTTTAAAAGGCTTGTACATATACCTTTAGTCAAGTCCAAAAAATGTAAAAGAAGCAATATTAAACAAGCCCTGTGTTACTCATCAGATTTAAATAAAATAAAAATATATACTAAGGCACATATGTGAGAATAGTGTTTTAGGTTAATATTTATCTTTTAGTTGGAAATCATTTCTTTGGAAATCCTTTTTGAGACATTATCACTACTTACCTGTAAATACATTAAAGATATCACTTTGAAATATTGCCTGTGAAATCACACATTTTGAACTATGGAGTTTTTACTTTCAATGAAGACCCAATTTTATAGCATGGAAAGAAAAATAGTCACCCCCCCCTTTTTAAACAAATACATGTAGTATGGAGTCACTGTTAATTTTGTGATTCCTATTTTCTTCCTTTAAACATGAGATTGACTATTGAATCACTGCATGAAAGGCTTTCCTGGGTCAATTTAAGTTGCTTATTTTTTAGAAAGAAAATATTGGGTCTCAGGTGTAATACATGTGAATATATCTATGAGACAGTTAGTGTGTGTATTTAAATTCATTCTACACCTGGCTTGGTGAAATTTAATGTCCACAGGTCCCCTCAACTCCTTTCGGCCCTCTGCTTCTTTACCTAATTTTGTCCTATCTTTATTGTTTCACCTTAGAAAGATATATAACTTGGACATATTTAGTAGAATTATTTGTTAGCATATGTGCTGTCATAATTTCAGCATAGGTTAATGGAAATGCACCAAAATATCTCCCCTTATGTCTGCAGGAGATATTCTTAATTGCCACAAGTCTAGAAAGACACAGGGGAGAGAATGCACTTTTTTTTTTAAACACATTTACATTTATTTATTCTTTTTCCAATGTTTTACATTTCTTTTATCATTATTATTATTATTATTATTTTACTTTAAGTTTTAGGGTACATGTGCACAATGTGCAGGTTAGTTACTTATGTATACATGTGCCATACTGGTGTGCTGCACCCATTAACTCGTCATCTAGCATTAGGTATATCTCCCAATGCTATCCCTCCCCACTCCCCCCACCCCACAACAGTCCCCAGAGTGTGATGTTCCCCTTCCTGTGTCCATGTGTTCTCATTGTTCAATTCCCACCTATGAGTGAGAATATGTGGTGTTTGGCTTTTTGTTCTTGCGATAGTTTACTGAGAATGATGATTTCCAACTTCATCCATGTCCCTACAAAGACATGAACTCATCATTTTTTATGGCTGCATAATATTCCATGGTGTATATGTGCCACATTTTCTTAATCCAGTCTATCATTGTTGGACATTTGGGTTGGTTCCAAGTCTTTGCTATTGTGAATAGTGCCACAATAAACATACATGTGCATGTGTCTTTATAGCAGCATGATTTATAGTCCTTTCAGTATATACCCAGGAATGGGATGGCTGGGTCAAATGGTATTTCTAGTTCTAGATCCTTGAGGAATCACCACACTGACTTCCACAATGGTTGAACAAGTTGACAGTCCCACCAACAGTGTAAAGTGTCCCTATTTCTCCACATCCTCTCCAGCACCTGTTGTTTCCTGACTTTTTAATGATTGCCATTCTAACTGGTGTGAGATGATATCTCATTGTGGTTTTGATTTGCATTTCTCTGATGGCCAGTGATGGTGAGCATTTTTTCATGTGTTTTTTGGCTGCATAAATGTCTTCTTTTGAGAGTGTCTGTTCATGTCCTTCGCCCACTTCTTGATGGGGTTGTTTGTTTTTTCCTTGTAAATTTGTTTGAGTTCATTGTAGATTCTGGATATTAGCCCTTTGTCAGATGAGTAGGTTGCGAAAATTTTCTCCCATTTTGTGGGTTGCCTGTTCACTTTGATGGTAGTTTCTTTTGCTGTGCAGAAGCTCTTTAGTTTAATTAGATCCCATTAGAGAATGCACTTTTAGAGGAAGTGAGAACTAACTGGCTGTCTTTGTAAGCAGATAGGGGCAACTTTATTTCCTAGAACATTGAGAGAGCATAAAAGGGAAGTAAGAAAGCAAGCCAAAGTATCACTTTAATATAAAAGCAGCTCTTTAATATCTGATGCACATTATTATATGGTCTAATTCAAGGTAGAAGGGAGGATAAAATATTTGTTTCTTTTAATCTGTGACCTTATATGAATTAAGATGATATAGATTATAAATAACCCTATCTTTTGGTTACTGGACTACAACAAAAGTTTATCTATCTCTCACTCCTGCATAGCCTGCTATTGGTCTTGGTGATTCTCCTATGCAGGGTGTTCAAAACATGCTGTCATAATGATTATGAAAAAAGAAAAGACTGTGGTGTTAAGCATCAGCTTTGCAACATCAACTAATAAGTAATACATATTACTTTTTCCTTATAAAAATTGCAACAAAAAGTTTTTCTTATTGAAGCAACAAACATTTTTTGCAGAAGTCTAATATAACCTCCATTGTATATATAAATATAAAACATATAAGTGTATATGTTATATAATGTATTCCATGTGGATTTATTCATTTCATTTCTCTGAATTAGGACTAAACATGTGTTCTTGTACTTTTGGACTTGCAGGAGCAGGATGCAATAGAATATATTCTGAAACAAGTAACATTTCATGATTTGATCATACCTACTGATATGGTTTGGCTGTGTTCCCACCCAAACTTTATCTTGAATTGTAGCTCCCATAATCCCCATGTGTCTTGGGAGGGACCCAGTGGGAGGTCATTGAATCATGGGTAAATTGAATCATGATTTTTTTAAATTGAACTGAAAAAATCAGTTTTTCCCATGCTGTTCTCATGATAGGGAATAAGTCTCATGAGATCTGATGGTTTTATAAAGGGCAGCTCTCCTGCACACATTATCTTGACTGCTGCCACGTAAATGTGCCTTTGCTCCTCATCTGTCTTTTGCCAAGATTGTGAGGCCTCCCCAGCCATGAGGAACTGTGAGTCCATTAAATCTCTTTTTCTTTATCAATTACGCAGTCTGGGGTATGTCTTTATTAGCAGTGTAAGAACAGACTAATACACCTAGTATCATGTATTATGCACATGTAAACTCCAGTAATTTTCATCACTTTCTTCCGTGTGTCAAAATACTACAGTTTTATTCTTGCTTCTCAGTGATACAACACTTAATCCAGTGGTTTCATATTCCTTATCTGATTGTATTTCTCTGGCATGTGACACATTTGACCACGACTTCTTCCCAAATCTTTCTCTTCTCTTGAATTCTTTGACGCTGTTATTTCTGTTGTCTTCCTCCTTAGTTTCCTCCTCTGACTGCCATGCTCTTTAGATTTTATCTTTCCTAGAATTTTAATTCTAAATCCTATTCTCTTATCATTCATCATATTTTTCTTGAATATTATTCAATACACTCTCCTTAGTTTTGAGGGATTTAGGAAAATCAGGCACCAACTGTGGCTACTGTTGGGACTTCAGACTGAGAAGGAGTTGGGATGAGGTTTATCTGAAAAGAGGAAGAAGAGTATTAATCCTAGGAAATGACATCTGTAAGAAACCAAAGTCAAAACGAGGTCAATTTGTTAAGCATAAAAATATTATATAGATAATGAGCAACAAGCTGGGTAAGATAAGATTGAATAGCAGGTATCAACAGCAGGTTCATAGAGTCAGGTAATGATAACAGTAGGTGATAGTTATTAAGAACTTATTCTATATTGATATCATATAGGCAATTTGTATATTCAGGGTTATAACCTCTTCTCTGAAACTCTGTGTGCCAGATGTTTTGCATTTTTGAGTATCACAAATTTTAGAAAGCCTGCACACTGCATATATGGCATAATTGGCACTACCCCCAAATCAAACATATAAATATTACACAATTTATGATAAATAATGACTACCACGAACTACAGTAGCCTGCCTTCAGGTCAGGTAGGATTTTGCCAACAGATGATTTTGCAATAAACTTACCAGGAAAGAAAGGAAAAAAAGCAAACTTTCAGTTTTCAGAACTTGATATATCTCACGATTGTAGAAAAGGTATGCTGTGTCTAAATTATCTCATTCAGTCATTGTGAAATATTAAATTATTATTATCCCCATTATTCACAGACAGGAAAACTAAGTTTTAGAGATAATAATTCAACAATAGATGATTGGTAGATGACAAGGCTAGTATTTGAACTTAAGTCTGTGTGACAGTCTGTTCCATTTTCTCTTCACTACAATGCCGCAGTGATGACAGTCTGAGAGACACAAATACTTTTGAAGCAAATCTTGCTGAACTATATTGAAAAAGCACTCAAATCTCATGCTTTCAAACAGTATGTATATGTCTGTGACTTCCAAATCCGTCTCTATAACTTGTGTTCCTCTAGAAGTCTCCAGACTCATATTGCTAACTATGTGTAAATATCCAGCTGCAGGACCCTCAGCTCCTCCAACCCCATATAATCAAAACTTCACTGAGATTTTGACTGGCAAATGAGGATTACTTTCATTTGTCTGGATCTTGGTTACAAATTCCATTTTTAAGTCTCAGAGTTCCTTTTGATTGCGCCTCCTAATAAAGGTCTTTATTTTAGCCTGGACTATTTCAGTGAATTGTATGTCTGCCTCAAGTCTTTCCCTTTTTAGTGGCTACAAAGATTATGTTTAAAGTCCTTTTACTTACTTGTGTTATTTATCTGCATTAATGATAATATAAACAACTCACAATGTCTATGGGATAATTTTCAAATTCCTTAACACTCCATGAAAGAACTTCCTACACCTGACCCATTTTACCATGCTAATAATACCTCCCATAAACCCCATAATCCCCTCTATGATCCAGTCACATTGAGCTTCTGGTTTTTGAGTTGTTTCTGCTGTTTTATGCCCCATTATTTTAGCATATATAGTCCTCACTTATTTTCTATCTCATTCTGCTCTTTCTCACAGACCCATTTCTCAAAACCCAGGTGAGAACTACTCCCCATGTAGCCTCACAACTTACTGAAGCAGAGAGAATTGTTTTCAGTTTTAGGCTCAAATGGAGGTAGTAATTATCACACTAAATTGTATTTATTCAAGTGTCTTTGTCACTCACTTGTTTGAGTTTTTAGATGATGAAGATCACTAAAAATAGTCTTTCATAAACTTTACTTACAGAGTATAAATCATAATGCCTGATTACTGAATAGATGAATCAGAATTTAGGGCTTTTTGAATTATACCAGTAATAAGCCACTGTCTATTCTTAATTATTTCTGATCATTAAAAAATGCAATAGTTAACCCCAGGAGGTTTTAGACTACAGAGACCTAGGGAAATCTTAGAAATTGTCCACAGTCCATTTTATACGTTTATTGACATAAAAACTGCCTACATTTGAGGTAGCTCTATACTGAATTATCTAGAATTATGAAGTACTGCATAAAATAAAATATTTTGAATTAAATTAGCAAAAGTGTCAGAATTGCTATTAGTAATCCCAAACAATATACATTTACATGCTTTTTGGGTCAAAAAAGAGTGGCAATACTTTAAGGTTAAGTAGTTTTAAGAGAATTTGAGATACTTGATATGAGGCATTTTACTTTTGCTTATCACACCATGAAGAAAGTTATACATCTATACTATTTAAGGGTTATTTCATTTTCTAACTTTTAGTCAATCTTGTATCATTATGTTAAAGTGAAAGTCATCAGCATAGGTTAAAAGAGCATAACTACTAAAATAGGGGAATAAAATAAAATGAAGTAGCACAGCATTTAAGATTTAATTTTGTTGATTAAAACGTCCATCAGAGAAGGCTACAATTAGAAATTATTCAAAACTTGAAGTTTTATCTTGGAAAAAATGCTTGTTCATAAAAAAGGATGAATTAAATTTTAAGGAGATTAATGTATTAGTGTACATGACATAAAGTCTGTTATTCCATAGTAACATTTTATAAAAATAAAAACTCAGAAGAATACAGTGTAGCATAAAAAAACCTTAATGCATATACACTGGAAAATAAATGTATCTGTGTTAGACCAGGTTCTGTTAGAAGCTAACACCAAGATATGATTAAATATGCAATGATTTTACTAGGGCAAAGATCTGTGTGAGAAGAAAGAGGAAGGGAGACTGAAATGGTTGGGAGAGGCATCAGACCAAGATGCACGCCAAATCCCAAGAGAAAGCCGGAGCAGGGAAAGATGAGTGGAAGCATAATCCACTGCTGTGTAATTTAAGAAAGGTTCAACAGGTCCATCTGGAGTCGAGTTGAAGCCATCATCAGAGAAACACTGGGTCTCCCAATATCAGCATACCTTTCTATCACTGCACTTACTCACTGAGTGAGAGCAGCCTGTGGGAAGTTGGGGCCTCAGCACTAACCGAGGCTTGGATCTCAGAATGCAGTAGCCAGAGTTCTCAGTCAATTATGCTCTTCAAATTTGGAGATCTGTTTGTTGCATCCTTGTGGCCACTACAATATCTTTCTCACTTCTGTTTCTCTGGAAGAAAATACCATGTATTAGAACAGTAGGAAGACAGACGGATGGTTCAGTGTTCTAAATTCTGTATTCTTAAGTTTTTCACCTTGGAGAAATTAACAAATTGACATCTATAAAAGGTTCAGAATAGAAATTATCTAGGGCATCCACAGATTGTAAAATAGGTAACTTCTTTGCTCACTTGGCTGGATATTGCTTGACCAAAGAAAAATTAAGCATCGAATGTTTTCATTTAACATCATTCTGTTTGTGTCTCTTGCATGTCTCTAGTAGATGCTATAGGATGGCAGTTCATCATCACCCATCCCTGCTCCTCTCCTTCCCTTTCTCTTCCTCTACTGTAGGGACTGTACAGATTAATGCTCTCCATGTCAAGTTTCCTTGCAAGTAGGGGAACTATGACACAACATTGAAACGTGATATGTAAAAGCACATCTTTGAGGAAGGAGAGTTAGGACTAATTTTGTTTCTTGATAACATCAATCAGATGTCCCTGAGCATTTCTTCTTTCTTCCTGTCTTGAATGTAGAGGGTATATCTCGAATTGCAACTGTTAATTTGCAACCATAGTGACAAGTACGTGAACAAACATCACTATGCAAAGAATTGTATTGTCAACGTAAAGCGTCCAACTCTGTAAAATATACGGAGATTTATTCTGAGCCAGTCTAAGTGACCAATGACCCATGAAGCCTGAAGAGATCTTGAAAACATGTGCCCACGGTGGTCAGGCTACAGCTTGGTGTTATACATTTTAGGGAGACATGCGACATAAATCAGTACATGTGGATATATATTGGTTCAGTATAGAAAGGCAGGACAACTCAAAGCAGGTGCGGCCAGGTAGTAGGTGGATTCAAAGATTTTCTCATTGGCAATTGGTTGAAAGAGTTTTCTTTTCTTTCTTTTTTTTTTTTTTTGACTGAGTTTCACTCTTGTTACCCAGGCTGAAGTGCAATGGTACATCTCACTATCTCGACTCACTGCAACCTCTATCTCCTGGGTTCAAGCCATTCTCCTGCCTCAGCCTCCCAAGTAGCTGGGATTACAGGCATGTGCCATCACGCTGGCTAATTTTTGTATTTTTAGTAGAGATGGGGTTTCACCATGTTGGCCAGGCTGGTCTCGGCTTCCCAAAGTTCTGGGATTACAGGCATGAGCCACTGTGCCCAATTGAAAGAGTTGTTTCCTAAAGACCTGGAATCGGTAGAAAGGGATGTCTGGTTTGAGATAAAGAATTGCAGGGAACAAAGTTTTATCGTGTAGATAAAGCCTCTAGGTCGCATGCTTTAGAGCTCTTATCAGACCTAAAATGGTGCCAGACTCTTAGTTAATTTTCTCATTGTTTAGGGAAGACCTGGAAATGGAAGGGGATTCTCTACAGAATGAAGATTTTCCCCACAAGAGACACTTCGCAGGGCCACTTCAAAAAATGTCAAATAAATATATTTTGGGGTAAAATATTTGGATTATTTCAGGGCCTGCTATCTGTCATACTGGTATCTGATTGCTACTGAGTCAGCTTTGTCAGTCTTAAGGTTTCTCTTTTAATGGTAATGCTGGCCAGCTAGGCCTGAATTCATAAGGGGTAAGGCATAATGAGGCACGTCCAACCACCCATTCCCATCATGGCCTGAACTAGTGTTTCAGGTTTACATTAGAATGCCCCTGGCCAAGGGAGAGGGCCATTCAGTTGGTTGGGGGGCTTAGAATTTCATTTTTGGTTTACATTCTGATGAAAGACCACTGAGCAGCCTGATACACATGCAGATACTTCGCATTGATAGGATTAAATACTCCATCCTAACTCCATGGATAAAATGATTTGACTTGTCTGCTTTCATCATTACCACTTGATATATTGATAACATTTCTTGTTATTTACCATATCCAAATTTACCTTTGTGAAGTCTCATCCTTTCGATAAATGAATATATGTATTTTGAGGACATGACTAGCTAATATGATACATAAATACATGCCGGGGTAGTAAAGGATGGATGAAGAGTTAATGCAATATTGGTATTTTAAGAGGATCTTCTGGAGAAGGAGTGTCTTATCTCTAAAAATTTAAAAACAACTTTTTAAATAAGGAGGCCTCATTTAAAAAAAAAGTTTCACCTCACATGAGGAAGGCAGTTATGTACTCTGCATTGGCTAAGTGCTTATCCTGGAAGCAATAAATATTAGGTTTCTGAGACCCCTATATTTAAAACAGTTTAGTTACATGAGTTTTGTTTTGGTTGAGTATGTTGAATGAGAAGTGTCTTTCAAAGGACTGGAAATTGAAGAAAACATAATTCCAGAAGTCGTAGATGTTATGTTAAAATTGTTTTATTTCTGATAAAATGACTTAAAATAACCCTCCAATTTGGGATATTTTTATTTAAACTTTATAAGACTAACAAAGGACCAATTTACACCATCTGCTTCAGTTACACTCTGATGTGTATTTTCTCTCCATTTTTTTTCTCTTTAAATAGACATTCTGTTTGGCACCTTGTGCTTAAGTACATGTCTTTGAGTAAAAAATGTAGTTTGTCTGACTTCCTGTCAAACCAATATTTATTCACAAATATCTGTTTTGTTGCTTTCTCACATAAAATCATATAGCACTTTTCCAATGTGAAGAGTTGGCTAGTTGGTGATAGTGTGAGCTACCAGCTGGAGCTTTTACAGTTTTTAGTATGCCAGCTGCTTTCATGATGGACAATTTGTTCTCTGCCTTTAGCTTTACTTTTTTTTTTTTTTTTTAAACGGAAGTGTGTTACTTTTGCTCCAATTATGAGAGGACAGGATATTGCCTCATATTTTAAAAGTACATATTTTGATTGTTCAGTTAACAATAACAATAGCATTTCTTTTGAAACTATTATTCTGGTGAACTGTTCTTGAGCCAAAGGTGAATCAGACACTAAGCCTCACCTCTCTGTAAGATATCTTTCAACTATCTTTAAAAAGTTCATTCGAAGTTTCTGTTAACATAGCATATTTGAAGAAGAGAAAAATGGAACAAGTGCTGGGAAGATAGACCAGAATCTTTCACTTATAAGTGTGTTTTTTGTGGAATAATTGCTGGGCAATTCTAATATTTTTGCCTGTCCTCTTGCTGCTTCAGGAAAGTAAGAATCAGATCTGCTTGTCCTGACTTTGCCTGGGGACTGTTTTACAATCAATGAGAAGCCCGTACAATTATTTTCTCTAAGTTATTTGACTATGTTTCTGAAACAAAATTTGAACTATGAGGGGTCAACAATAAAAACCCAAGAATACTGAAAATGAACTTTTCCCTGGCTATTTATAGGACTCTTTTGTTTGGAAGAGGCTTCTGTTTTTGCCATTATCTTCATGGGCATTTTTTAGCGTATGTGACAACTTGGAAACAAACTAAATTCAGTTGTGATTAAATAGAAAATTCATAGTCTTAAAACTCACCATATAAATACCCATTACCTCTATGAGGCTTAAAATTATATTATAACCAGAGCACTTCAATTCACTGGTAAATTACAGCAAAAAATAAAAAGAAAGAAAAATACACCTAAATCAGGTTATATATGCAGCCTACGAGTTTAGAAATGTATTGTTGAGTAGCAAATGGATGTTTTCAAAATTTCATGTGATAGGAATGAGAAGGACAAACAAAAAAAGGTCCACTTTTGTTAAAATATGTCCCTGTCTCTGATATAACCCTACTTAAATGCATTTAAAAAGATGTTGAACAACACCTTTTTTCCCGTAACTGTACCTCATAGCCAAAGAAGTTATCTAGATAAAGATTATTCACATATTTATTCATTCACTCATTCAGTCATTTAAAAAAATACTTCTAAGCACATCTGCTATGTACATAGAACCAAGTCAGTTTTATTCTGAAGTCTTAAATGTTTCTTAACTCTATTAACCTAAAACTTAGATAAATAGTTGGGATGGTATTTTGGGAATTAATATTATAATCTCAGCTTATCTTATGTATAATTCAGATCCTGAAGTTAAGCGTTGATGGTCTGTTTCATGCTACTTTATTTTGGAGAATGAGATTAACATAATACTGTATTAAAACTTTTTAAAGATTGTGAGAATATAACTAAATTGAAGTAAAAGAGAATGTTATACCTAATGATAGTTTATTCTCTCTTCAGAAATCTTGAATTGTTGGATTTTATGTTATGTGTAAAGTTAAATTTCATCTAAATATATGACAGAAGGATTGTTTAAATCTATGAAGGTAAATGTTCTATAAATGATCCCAAGATGCAATGCAAAATTATAACATGTGCACACATATAGATATACAGACACACATACATATATGAGCATGTGCAATGGAATTATATTTGCCTTTCAGATTGCCTGAGGCTTCATAAGGAGTTTATTTATGAAGTTTTCTTCTTGAACTTATCAAGGAAATACAATTGACTATATTTAAAGTTATTATTTAGGTACACATGTGAAAATATCTGTATCTAGGTAGATTTAGATCCCATATATATTATTTTATTCTCATTTTTGAGGTGAGGTATAATGTACAAATTATGTATGAATATCAGTCTTAGACTAAAATCAGAGCTTTAAGAAGTATTACCAAATTATTGAAGCAAGTTAGTATTCAAATTTCTACTGACAACTATTAACTGTAAATCCTTCTGGATATTTGGACTTGTAATATATTATAGAATGAATATTTTGGCCTAAAATATAAACATTTGCTAATTCATAAATACAAAAGCAAAACACAGAGAAATAACAAATAAAGGGTGTGGTTTGATTTCTGTTGACTTAGCACTTCTGTCACCATTTGTCCAAGTTCTGCTTTTTACAAAAATCAAGGCAAAAACAAAGTGAAAACACAATTCCTGTGCCATGGTTTAAAATGTATATGTGTTTTCTTTAAATAAACAAATTTTATTTGTAGCTTCTACTGGGAAAAAATTGCAACTGCTAATGGGGAAAAAAAAAGCGAAACCCATACCATGTTAGGGAGACATTTTCTATTTGTCTATCATTTTGAACTTAATTACGGCTTGAACAGTTGTATTTAAATAAGCTGCTCCGATATACAACAGTTTTTAAGAGATATACAAATCAATTTCACAGTTTGAAATTTATAGTAGTTCTCCCCTTTTTCATTTTTCTTTTTTTATGGTTTCAGTCATTGGTCAATATTAAATAGAATATTCCAGAAATAAAACAATCTGCATGTTTCAATTTGTGTGATATTCTGAGTAGTGTGATAAAATTTCTCACCATCTCACTCTGTTCCTCTGGGGACATGAGTCATCCCTTCGCACAGCATATCCACGCTGTGAATGCTCTGGCCCGTTAGTCATCAACATCATCTACCCCTGACATCTAACCACTGACATCGTCATGGCTCAGTGATCCAGGCACCAAAAGCAGATGCCTAGGTCACTTCATTTCATCTCATCATGTAGGCATTTGATCATCTTACATCATCCCAAGAAGAAGAGTGAGTAGAGTACAATACAATAATATATTTTGAGAGAGGGACCACATACACATATAATTTATTAGAGTATATTCTTATACTATTTTATTATTAGCTATTGTTATTGATCTCTTACTGTGCCTAATTTATAAATTAAGCTTTATTGTAGGTATGTAAGTACAGAAAAAAACATAAGATTTATAGGGTTTGGTATCATCTATAGTTTCAGGGATTATCCATTGGAGGCCTTGGCACATATCCCCAGCAGATAAGGGAGGCCTACTGTATATATAGCAACATATAACTTACATGTATAGTTTAAAATGAATCTTTACCAAAATAATACATGTACACAATGAAAAATAAAATTTAACAAAGGAACTTATGAGCCAAAGACATATTTTCAAAACCCTACCTTTCCTACCTCTGACCCACTCTTTGAGGCAAACTATTTATTACTCCTATTTTAGTTCTTTTGGCGATTGCCTGCATAATTCTTGAAAGTATGCCTAGTCTTTTCTTCCTGTCATGTCAGATTCGGATAGCATATGTTCAGGCCTTGATTTATCTAACATTTACCACCTCGTTTATTTCCAGCATTCATATTTATATTTTGAATTTATTTGTTAAGATAAAAACTTGAATAAATGTTATAAAAACTATTTGTCCTGTTTCATGTATTTTTGTCAGTATTTTTTTATTTGTATAAATTTAAGGGGTATAAGTGCAGTTTTGTTACATGGATATATTGAGTAGTGGTTAAGTCTGACTTTTCGGTGTAAATATAACCCAAATAATATACATTGTACTGATTAAGTCCTTTCTCATCCTTTACTCCCCACCTACACTATCACCCTTCTGAGTCTCTGGTGCCTACAATACTATTCACAATAGCAAAGATATGTAATCAACCTTAGTGTCCATCAATGGATGATAGAATAAAAAAGAAGATGTGGTATACATTGATGGTATTTTCTGAGTCTCACTTTGTAATACAGTATGTTAGAAATGCCATCTTTTCCTCTATCATTCTTGACTATTTCAAGTCCTATCTTCTGTTTATACTCTGTCTTGCAGCTACAATCAAGACTTTTGGTCTTGTTCATAGGCTGACTTTTATATTTGAAAGCAAACATGATTATTTTAATATTATTCAAATTGCTACCAATTATTTCACTAAGATTACATTTACTTCTTGCCTATTCATTGCCTTAAACCTGAGCCACTCTTAGTACCTAGCATTAGGATTAAATATATTCCATTTTAAAAATCTCGTTTGCTAAGAAATCTGTCACAGTTTCATTTAAAAATATTTGTATTAGACTTTTTGTTTTGCTTGTTTGATTTTGAGTTGTTAGTTTTTGCTGTTGTTGCTGTCTGTGCGTGTACGTTTGTGTGTGGAGGGGGGTATTTATCACACCCTTAAGATTCACAAGATTTCAGTCAACATTTTTACACTACCAAGTGTCTTTTATGCCTAGATCCTGTCTTATGGAAACTTCCATTATCTTTTTCAATTATTTCTTATTCATTTCTTAAACAATACTTTTAGGTACATACTAGAAGTCAGATATTGTGGTAGGCACTTGGATTACATAGCAGCTTGATGTTCTCCAGGCCTTCAGTTTGGGACCTTCTTTTTACTGCTTTTATATGTTAGAGTCTATGATATTCAAGATCCTGCACCTTTCTACTTCTTGAATTTTGTTTCATGTTTCTGGAGAACATACTGAGGCAGGGGTGCGTGTGCCACAGACAATGTTTGTCCATTAATATTTGAATGCGGCTTTGTTGCCTTCATTATTGTTTTATGGCCATTTCTTTCTAGATTGCAAATTTTCCTTCATAAACACCAACACATTTCTCTATGGTGTTCTTGCATTACTTTTTCTGATAATTAGTCTAGCAGTATGTTGTACTGGTCTCATTTTCTCCTACATGGAACAGCATCTTTTATTTAGGCATATATTTCAGGAATTTTATGGAACTAAGGCTTTTTTCCTGTTTCTTCTTTGAAAAAAATGGTTGTCTACTATTTCATTGGTAATTACTTCCGTTCCATCTTTTTTTTTCTATTCTTTCATTCTTGGACTTTTATCATATTTCTAATACCAATTATTTATTCTTGTTATCTGATATTTATTCCTTTGCATTAACATAACAATGTTTTATGAATGCTTTGTATTTTCAAATAATATACAAAGTTTAAAGTATATCATCTCTAGTCTCTTTAATTATATGTTTTCCCAGGGATCAGTGATTGTGTTTGATTTTCATTTTCCTATTTCATGCTGCTCATTCTCTAAACACATCGAATTATGGGGTCTCCTTATATTAAGACAGTTGGCTTGAGCAGCTGGCAGTCACTTTCTTTATTTTCACGCAAGTAAAGGCTTTTTTTTTCAGGCAATCCTGGAGTGAAGTAGTAAGAAAGTCCTATGAATAAAGTTAATTATGAAAGAAGTTGATAATATTTCTTAGAGTATGATTTGGATTTAACCAGGAAAAGAGAGGTTGAAAAGATCACTGTTAGAATAGACGTAGCAAGAAGAAAATGATGCTGTATTGAGAGCAATTGGCACATTCATATTTCCTTAATGGGACAGAGATGACACAGATTTTGAGGTTGGCAATTTGGGCAAGGCCAGGTCATGGGACCCTTGTATATATTTGAGCACAGAAAATGTAAATACAGGTGTGGTATAGTCATGTTTTATTTTAGATTACTTTTGATGTTTTGTGGCATATTAACAGGTTGGCCAAGAATGGAGAAAGAGAGATCACTTAAAGATCCATAATCTTTCAGCTGAAAAAGATGGACCTGAACCAGGAATTAATTACCAGGGAAAAATATGAAAAATTACTGAACTAGGAAAATAGTGTGCATGGAACCTGAAAACAAAAATTACATAAAACACGCAAAATAGAAAATAATTTGACTGAACACAGTGGTTCATGTCTGTCATCCTAAAATTTTGGGAGGCTGAGGCCAGAGGATCTCTTGAGTCCAGGAGTTTGTGACTAGACTGGGCAACATTGTGAGACCCCATCTCTACAAAAAATTTTAAAAATTTAAAATTCAAAAATTTTAAAAATACTATAGGCTCATGCCTGTAGTCCCAGCTACTCTGGAGGCTGAGGTGAGGGGACTGTGGTCCCAGCTACTCTGGAGGCTGAGGTGAGGAGCCTGTGGTCCCAGCTACTCTGGAGGCTGAGGTGAGGGGACTGTGGTCCCAGCTACTCTGGAGGCTGAGGTGAGGGGACTGCTTGAGCCTGGGAGGTTGAGGCTGCAGTGAGCCATCAATGCAGGAGTGCACTCCGGCCTGAGTGCCAGAACAAAAGAAGAAAAGAAAAGAATTTGGCTAAAAAGAAGAAAGAAAAATAGATCATAAATGATTCTTTAGGTTTGTAGTTTAGGTGCTTCAGTAGATGTTTATGCTATTGATGATTATAGACAATTCACAAACAGAATTTATTGAGGATAAAAGTTCATTGAATGAGATTGGGACACGTTACATTTAGAAATTTGAAGTTTTGTGAAATAACCATGGTTTAAATGATAGTCAATTCCACATAAGTGCTAATAAAAAGAATGATAATGTATGAGAAAATACAGTAGGAACCTCAAAATTGAAGCAAAATAATCTGAAGGTAAAAATCGTTTTTTTTTTTTTTTTTTTTTTTGAGATGGAGTCTGGCTCTGTCACCAAGGCTGGAGTGCAGTGGTGTGATCTTGGCTCACTGCAACTTCTGCCTCCCAAGTTCAAGCGATTCTCCAGCCTCAGCCTCCCAAGTAAGTGGGATTACAGTCATGTGCCACCATGTCTGGCTAATTTTGTGTGTGTGTGTGTGTGTGTGTGTGTGTGTGTGTGTGTGTTTAGTAGAGAGGGGCTTTTGCCATGTTGGCCAGGCTAGTCTTGCACTCCTGACCTCAGGTGATCCACCCGCCTTGGCTCCCAAAGTGCTGGAATTACAGATGTGAGCCATTGTGCCTGGCAGAAGGTAAAATCTTAAACCCCTAATATGATGTAGGTAGTAAAGGAAAAGCATTAGAAAACTGAAATATGATTATCAGAGAGTTAGGGGTTGTAAAAGAGGGCAGTAGTTTATGGAAACTGAGGGAGAAAATAGAGATAGACGGAGGGGAGGTGGACATTTTTTGACAGTACAGCTTTGCACCATTGTCTTCTTCTGCCTCAAATGTTTGTCTGCTCCTGTTATGCCACCTCCTCGTCATCCTTTAGGTCTATGTATGATCTTCATAGAGAGACCTCCAAGCCTACCCTGTCTATAGTAAGTCTTCATTGTTGCTTTTATAGTAACTGGTTCCTTTTATTTATTTTTTCTATCACAATCATCTTCATTTTGTTTTTGCTTGTTTGCTTATTCATTATTGTTTTTTTTTCATTTTTTATTTTCCTCTAGCTTGAGAGCTATGGAGAAGGGTAGGGTTCCTTAGTTTATTTATCACATATCATAAACTTAGCTCAATTCTTGACACCTATTAGTTGCTCAGTAAATATGTCTTGAATGAATTAATGGAACATAGCAGAGAGGGAGACAAAGGGAAGAAAAGTTTCCCACTGGATTTGAAAAATGGAAGATCATTAGGTTCCTTAAAATAAATGCATGTGTTGTATGTTTATTGCAGCACGATTTACAATAGCAAAGACTTAGAACAAACCAAACCAAACGCCCACCAATGATAGACTAGATAAAGAAAATGTGGTACATATACACCACGGAATACTATGCAGCCATAAAAAGAATGAGTTCATGTCCTTTGCAGGGACATGGATGAAGCTGGAGATCATCATTCTCAGCAAACTAACACAGGAACAGAAAACCAAACACTGCATGCTCTCACTCATAAGTCGAAGTTGAACAATGAGAACACCTGGACACAGGGAGGGGAACATCACACACCAGGGCCTGTTGGGGGCTGGAGGGCAAGGGGATGGAGAGCATTAGGACAAATACCTAATGCAAGCGGTGCTTAAAACCAAGATGACGGGTTGATAGGTGCAGGAAACCACCATGGCACATGTATACCTATGTAGCAAACCTGCACGTTCTGCACATGTATCCCAGAATTTAAAGTAAAACAAACAAACAAAAATTGCATGTGTACTAATAATAATGATAGGGAGAGGAAAAGGAGGAGTAGGAGGAAGAAAAATTGTTTAGTGTGTTTCAGGTGCTGTTTTAATTGCTTTCCATGTTTTTTACTGATTTAATCCTCAAAACAATGACATGAAATTATTAGTGTTTTTAAATCTGAACGTTACACAATGGAGGGCAGGTAAGTTTAATTTTTCTTGGTAGGAAATGGTTTAAGCTATGAAACTAATCCATGTCATCCATACAGATACTGTGCATTCAATATGTCACTTTTACTGGGTTGAGAAGTAAATGGGAAGTAAATAAGCTGAGAGAAGATATATGCTATTTTTAAGAATTTTAGTAAGAATAAAATAATTTTTATGTTGAGATTTGGAGGCAGGAGATAACATTACAGAGTATGAACATATATATCTGCTAAGACTAAGAGGTGGTAATTCTTATTAGTATATTTTGAAACAGGAAATCTCAATTGATGATATAAAATCATGGGGTAGAGGCTTTTGGGAGGCAATGCAGTAATGAGTAAAGATGACATTAAGATGCTCATATATTGGAAGGAAAGGAACATATTAGGGGTGAACCCAGGAAGTTTGTATTTGGGAAATGGCAAACATTTAAGAGTCTTCACACATAAAGCCTTTAGGAATTTTTGTTTTGGTTTTGGTTTTGAGAGGGTTTAAGAGAAAAGGCCGTATAATAAACCATGAGACCAAGGAGGGCTAAGAACCTGGTATTAAGTAAAATGTAGGTCAAATATAATATATTGGTGGGAGGAAGAGACAGTACAGCTGGTGGGCTATCTCCCAAATTTCATAGGGGTCAGAATGGGGCTCATTCTCATCAACCAAATTGCACCTAGGATAAGTCAATTACCTCTAGAAGAGTTAATAATTGTTCTTATGAGCTATAACATGTTATTTAGATGTCATTTTGCATGGCAGAGAACCTTGAGAATAATAAGTATGGAGTTATTAGAATCATTTGAGATTTGTATAGATCAAAATTATGCTATCATTACCATCTCTGGACTATACAAAAAAAAAAAGGAAAAGAAAAATAGAAGAAGAATATGACTAGCATAAATCCTGTTTATTACAAAAATCTTAGTATAGTGACATCTACACAGTACTTTATATTAAAAATTGCTGAAAAATTGAGTTTGAGTTGTTATATTTGTTGATATGTAAGCAAGAATAAATCAAATTTTTCCTTTGCAAACATTTTGTTCTCAGCTCAGTGTGAGTTACTGTCATGGATATTAAAAAAAAAATCATATAGAGCATGACCCTTGACTTCAAGAGGCTAATAATGTACCTGTAGTGGTGATAGAAAAAAATATGAAATAATTAGAGAATATTGATGACACAAACAGTGAAACTGAACTACATACATAATAGAAGAGAAAGAATGAAAAGGTCAGTGTCAGCTAAAGTAATCAAAAGAGGCTACAATGAAGTAAATGAGACTTATTCTGGGTCATGGGAAATAAGTTGGATTTGGATAAACAGAAGACAGGTGAAAGAAAATCACAATAGTATAATGCTGGGAGCCAAGGCTTGAAGGTGTCAAAGGGCAAGGGTCTTGAAGGACAGAAACGCTGTGCATGTAGCTGAAACAAGACCACAGTCAAGAGCAATTGCACAACAATCTCAGCAAAAAAGAACCAGAGGTACCGTGGCAGATATTCTGACTGCCTGCACCATTAGGAGCAGCGGACTGACCAGATGGGACTGCAGAAACTGGAGATGGGGTGGATCTTTCTAAAAATAGGCATCAAGCTACCCATTAGATTAAAAAACAGAGCCCAGGATGGTGACAGGTTTTGAAAGAAATGGGAGGAGAGAAACATAAGCCATGATTTGGTTTTTCAGTCACACTTGTACTAATGGAAAATATCTTCCAACATGAAAGATGAGAGTGTGAAGTTCAAAACTCAGAGGTCTTCATTTTCCAATTTGAGTTTTTCTCTAAATTTTATAATTCAAGTCTTATTCATGTGTCAAATTATTCTTTGATCTTTGATTGTATATTTAATTTCTCTGAGTTAACATTTAAAAAGTTATCTTTGGATAATAGCCAAATCAGTAATAAAGAATCTCAGAATAAAATAGTGCTTTTATAGTGATTGAAAACACTTTTAAACTCTTCTTCTTTTAAAAATTATTGTAGAGGTTATTTTTTCCACTTGTTACTCCTCTTATAGAAGAAATATGACTCATTTCTTTGAAATCCTTTACAAATATTGAATTATCCCTTTTGTATACTGTTGGATTTTTTTTTTTTCTTTTCGAGATGGAGTCTTGCTCTGTCGCCCAGGCTGAAGTGCAGTGGCGCAATCCCGGCTCACTGCAACCTTCACCTCCCGGGTTCAAGAGATTCTCATGCCTAAGCTTCCTGAGTATCTGGAATTATAAGTATGCGCCACAATACCCGGCTAATTTTTGTATTCTTAGTAGAGACGGGGTTTCACCATGTTGGCCAGGCTGGTCTCGAACCCTTGACCTCATGATCCACCTGACTTGGCCTTCCAAAGTGCTGGGATTACAGTTGTGAGCCACCGCGCCCAGCCTTACATTTGGATTTTAAAATGGATCATGACTGAATTTATTGGTACCTAGTCAGATAAATTATATGTACTATAATTGATATCAAAAGTCTATTAATAATTTCAAATTTGTATTATAACCAATAGATCCCAGATATGAATAGACATGAATGCATAAGTGAATGACTGATTAGATTAATGAAAAAATGAATTAATGTATTAATGGATGAATAAATAACTACAGCTCAGAAGTATAAGATTTTCAAATAATCTGGTGCTAATAATAATAATACTGTAGGAAATCTGTAAACTTTGTAATAATAAACTTGTTATACTTAAAATTTCGCCCAGGCGCAGTGGCTCATGCCTGTAATCCCAGAACTTTGGGAGGCCAAGGAGGGCGGATCACGAGGTCAGGAGATCAAGACCATCCTGGCTAACACAGTGAAAACCCATCTCTACTAAAAATACAAAAAGAGCCAAGCCTGGTGGAGGGTGCCTGTAATCCCAACTACTTGAGAGGCTGAGGCAGGAAAATCACTTGAACCTGTGAGGTGGAGGTTGCAGTGGGCCGAGATCGTGCCACTGCACTCCAGCCTGGGCCACAGAATGAGACTCAGTCTCTCAAAAAAAAAAAAAAAAAAAAAAAAGAAAGAAAGAAAACAAAAAAAGAAAAAAAAAATTCAACTTTTATTGTAGATACAGAGTGTACATGTGCAGGTGGTTACATGAGAATATTGTTTGACCAGAGTTTTGGGGTATGGATCCTGTCACCCAGGTAGTGACCATAGTGCCCAATAGGAAGGTTTTAAACTCACACCCCCTCCTTCCACCCTCTAGTAGTCCACAGAGTGTATTGTTCCCATATTTATGTCCATGTATGCTCAGTGTTTAGCTTCCACTTATAAGTGAGAACATGCTGTGTTTGGTTTCTGTCCCTGTGTCAATTCACTTAGGATTATGGCTTCCAGCTGTATTCATGTTGCTGCAAAATACATGGTTTTATTCTTTTTATGGCTGAGCGGTATTTTGCAGTGTAAATATACCACATTAAAAAAAATCAATCTACCACTGATGGCCACCTGGGTTGGTTCCATGTCTCTGCTACTGTGAATAGCACAGTGATGAACATAAACATGCATGTGTCTTTTTGGTAGAATTATTTATTTTCCTTTGGATATATATCCAGCAATGGGATTGCTCCTTCAAATGGTACCTCTGTTTTAAATTCTTTGAGAAATGTCTAGACTGCTTTCCACGGTGGCTGGACTAATTTACATTCCCACCAATAGTGTATAAGCATTCCCTTTTCTCCACAGACTCAACAGCATGTTGTTTTCTGACTTTGATAATAGCCATTCTGATTGGTGTGAGATGGTATCTCATTGTGGTTTTGATTTGCATTTCTCTGATGATTAGTGATGCTGAGAATTTTTTTTGTGTATTTGTTGGCCACTTGAATGTCTTCTTTTGAGGATTGTCTTCCTATGTCATTTGCCAATTTTTTTTTAATAGGCCTATTTATTTTTTGCTTGTGATTTGTTTAGATTTTCTATAGATTCTGGATGTTAGTCCTTTGTCAGATCCATCATTTGCTAATACTTTCTCCCATTCTCTCGGTTATTTGCTCTGTTGATAGTTTCCTTTGCTGTGCAGAGCTACTAAGTTTAATTAGGTCCCTGTATTAGGCAATTCTTGCATTGAAATAAAGACCTGAGACTGGGTAATTTATAAAGAGAAGAGGTTTAAATAGCTCACAATTGTGCAGGCTGTACAGGAAGCATGGTGCTGGCATCTGCTCAGCTTCTGGGGAAGCTTCAGAAAGCTTATAATCATGACAGAAAGTGAAGGAGGAGCAGGCATGTGATATGGCCAGAGCAGAAGGAAGAGAGAGAGAGTGAAGGGGGAGGTGCCACACACTTTTAAATGACCAGATCTCATAAGAACTCTATTATGAAGACAGCACCAAGTCATGAGGGATCTGCCACCATGATCTAAATGCTTCCCACTAGGCCCCACCTCCAGCATTGGAGATTACAATTCAACATGAGATTTGGGTGGGGGCAAATATTCAAACTATATCAGTCCCACTTGTTTATTTTTGTTTTTGTTGCAATTGCTTTCGGGGACTTAACCAAAAATTCTTTGCCAATGTTGGCGTATTTCCTAGGTTGTTTTCCAGGATTTTTACAGTTTATGGTCCTACATTTAAATCTTTAATCCATTTTGAGTTAATTTTTTATATGGTGAAAGGGAGGGGTCCAGCTTCTTCTATTTTCTACATGTGGCTAGCCAAATATCCCAGCACTATTTATTGAAAAGGGAGTCCTTTCTCCATTATTGCTGCTGTCAGCCTTGTTGAAGATCAGATGGTTGCAGGTAGGTGGCTTTATTTCTAAGTTTTCTATTCTGATCCCTTGGTCCATGTGTCTCTTTTCATACCAGTACCAAGCTATTTTGTTACTATGGCTTTATGGTATCATTTGAAGTCAGGTAGTTTGATGCTTCTGGCTTCGTTCTTTTTGCTTAGGATTGCATTGGCTATTTGTAAGGGCTCTCTTTTGGTTTCATATGAATTTTATAATTTTTTTCCCAATTCTATGAATGATATTGGTATTCCAACAGGAAAAGCATTGAATCTGTAAATTTCTTTGGGCAGAATGGCCATTTATATAATACTGACTCTTCCAACTCATGATCTTGGAATGTTTCTACATTTGTATTGTCTCTGATTTCATTCAACAGTATTTTGCAGTTCTCCTTATAGAGACCTTCCTTGGTTAGTTGTATTCCTAAGTATTTTATTTTCTTTGTGGCTATTGTAAGTGAGATTGTGTTTTTGATTTCACTCTCAGCCTGGATCTTGCTGATGTATAGAAATGTTTTGAATTTTTGTACATTGATTTTGTATTCTGAAACTTTACTAAAGTCATTTATCATTCTAGTAGGCTTTGCCATAGCATTTTCGGTTTTCTAGGTATAGAATCACATCATCAGCAAAAAGAGATGTTTACTTCTTTTCCTATTTGAATGTCTTTTATTTTTTCTCTTGCTTGATTGCTCTGGCTAGGGCTTCCTATGTTGAATAGGAGTGGTGAGCGTAGGTATCCTTGTCTTGTTCCATTTCTCAAGGGGAATAGTTTGAGCTTTTGCCCATTAAGTATGATGTTGGCTGTTGATCTGTCATATATAGCTCATATTATTTTGAGGTATGTTCTTTTGATGCTTAGTCTGTTGAGAGTTTTCATCATGAAGTAATGTTGAATTTTATTGAGAGCTTTTTCTGCTTCTATTGAGATGATCACATGTTTTTTGCTTTTCATTCTCTTTATGAATCACATTTATTGATTTGTATATGTTGAATCAGCCTTGCATTGCAGGAATAAAGCCTACTTGATTGTGGTCTATTAACTTCTCGATATGATGCTGGATTTAGTTTGCTAATATTTTGTTAAGGAATTTGCATTTGTGCTCATGGGAGATATTGGCCTGAAGTTTTTTGTTGTTGTCCTATCTCCACTAGGTTTTAGTATCATTCTGACACTGGCTTCATAGAATGAGTTAGGGAGTAGCCTCTCTTCCTTGACTTTTTGCAATAGTTTCAGTAGGATTGGTATCAGTTCTTCTTTTTAAGTCTGATAGAATTAGGCTGTGAATTTATCTAGTCCAGGGCTTTTTTGGTTGGTGGGTTATTTATTGTGGATTCAATTTCAGAAGCTTTTTCTTAAATTTTATTTTTCCTTAGGTTATTGGGGTACCCGTGGTGTTTGGTTACATGAGTAAGTTCTTTAGTGGTGATTTTTGAGATTTTGGTGCACCCATGATTTGAGCAGTAAGCACTGAACCCTATTTGTAGCCTTTTATCCCTCACTTCCCCCGACCCTTCACCTAAAGTCCCCAAAGTCCATTGTATCATTCTGTGCCTTTATGTCCTCATAGCTTAGCTCTCAAGTATCAGTGAGAACATATGATGGTTAGTTTTCCATTCCTGAGTTACTTCACTAAGAACAAAAGTCTCCAATTTCATCTAGGTCACTGTGAATGCCGTTTTTTCATTTTTCATTCCTTTTTACAGCTGAGTAGTATATCACAGTTTCTTTATCCACTCATTGATTGACGGACATTTTGGTTGGTTCCACAATTTTGCAATTGCAAATTCTGCTGCTATAAGCATGCATGTGCAAGTCTCTTTTTTGTATAATGACTTCTTTTCCTCTGGGTAGATACCCAGTAGTGGAATTGCTGGATCAAATGGTAGTTCTACTTTTAGTTTTTAAAGGAAACTCCACACTGTTTTCCATAGTAGTTTTACTAGTTTGTGTTCCCACCAGCAGTGTAGAAGTGTTCCCTGATTACCATATCCATGCCAGCATCTATGGATTTTTGATTTTTTGATTATGGCCATTCTTGCAGGAGTAAGGATATATCTCATTTTAGTTTTGATTTGCATTTCCCCGATCATTAGTGATGTTGAGCATTTTTTTTTATGTTTGTTGACCACTTGTACATCTTCTTTTGAAAACTGTCTATTCACATCCTTAGCTCACTTTTTGATGGGATTATTTGTTTTTATCTTGCTGATTTTTGATTTCATTGTAGATTCTGGATATTAGTCCTTTGTCAGATGTAGAGATTGTGAAGATTTTCTCCCATTCTGTGGGCTGTCTGTTAACTCTGCTGATTATTCCTTTTGCCATACAGAATCTCTTTAGTTTAATTAAGTCCAAGTTATTTATCTTTGTTTTTATTGTATTCACTGTTGGGTTCTTGGTCATGAAATCCTTGCCTAAGCCAATATTTAAAAGGGCTTTTCCAACATTATCTTCTCGAAATTTTATAGTTTCAGGTCTTAGATTTAAGACCTTAATCCATCTTGAGTTGATTTTTGTGTAAGGTGAAAGATGAGGATCTAGTTTCATTCTCCTGCATGTGTCTAACCAATTATCTCAGCACCGTTTGTTGAAAGGGTGTCCTTTCCCCACTTTATGTTTTGGTTTGATTAGCCAAAGATCAGTTAGCTGTAAGAATTTGGGTTTATTTCTAGGTTTCCTATTCTGTCCCATTGGTCTTTGTGTCAATTTTTATACCCATATCATGCTGTTTTGGTGACTATGGCCTTATAGTATAGTTTGAAATCAGGTAGTGTGATGCCTCCAGATTTGTTATTTTTGCTTAGTCTTGCTTTGGCCATGTGGGCTGTTTTTTGGTTCCATATGAATTTTAGAATTTTTTTTCTAATTCTGTGAAGAATGATGGTGGTATTTTGATGGGGACTGAATTGACTCTGTAGATTGCTTTTGGCAGTATGATCATTTTCACAATATTGATTCTACCCATCCATGAGTATGGGATGTGTTTCCATTTGTTTGTTTTGTCTATAATTTCTTTCAGCAGTGTTTTGTGGTTTTCCTTGTAGAGGTCTTTTTCCTCCTTGGTTAGGTATATTGCTAAGTATTTTATTTATTTATTTATTTTGCAGCTATTGTAAAGGGGTTGAGTTCCTGATTTCATTCTCCACTTGGTCGCTGTTGGTGTACAGAACAGCTGCTAATTTGCATACATTAATCTTGTATCCAGAAACTTTGCTGAATTATTTTATCAGTTCTAGGAGCTTTCTGGAGAAGTCTTTAGGGTTTTGAGACAAAACAATCATATCATCAGCAAACAGTGACAGTTTGACTTGTCTTTACCAATTTGGATGCTTTTTATTTCTTTTTCTTGTCTGATTGCTCTGGCTAGGACTTCCAGTACTATGTTGAAGAGGGGTGGTGAGAGTGGGCATCTTTGTTTTGTTCCAGTTCTAACAGGGAATGCTTTCAATTTTTCCCCATTCAATATTATGTTGGCTGTGGGTTTGTCATAGCTGGCTTTTATTATATTGAGGTTTGTTCCTTGTATGCTGATTTTGCTGAGAGTTTTAATCATAAAGGGATGCTGGATTTTGTCAAATAGTTTTTCTGCATCTATTGAGATGATCATGTCATTTTTGTTATTAACTCTGTTTTTGTGGTACATCACATTTATTGACTTGTGTATGTTAAACCATCTCTGTATCCCTGGTATGAAACCCACTTGATCATGGTGGATTATCTTTTTGATATGTTGATGGATTCAGGCAGCTAGTATTTTGTTAAGAATTTTAGCATCTATGTTCATCAGGGTTATTGGACTGTAGTTTTATTTTTTGGCTATGTTCTTTTCTGGTTTTGGTATTAGGGCATTTCTTGCTTCATAGAATGAATTAAGTAGGGTTCCCTCTTCCTCAATCTTGTGGAATAGTTTCAATAGGATTGGTACCAATTCTTCTTTGAATGTTTGATAGAATTCTGCTGTGAATCCATCTGGTCCTGGACTTTTTTGTTGGTAATTTTTGAATTACTGTTTCAATCTCACTGCTTATTATTGCACATGAAACTTATTGCAAAATAGTGCATATGATAGGCCACAAAACGAGCCTCAATGAATTTAAGCAAATTGAAATTATATCAAGCACTTTCTCAGACCACAGTGGAATAAACCTGGAAATCAACTCCAAAAGGAACCTTCAAAACCATTCAAATACATGGAAATTAAATAACCTGCTCCTGAATGACCATTGGGTTAAAAACAAAATCAAGATGGAAATTAAAAAATAATTTGAACTGAATGACAATAATGACACAACCTATCAAAACCTCTGAGATACAACAAGGGTGGAGCTAAGAGGAAAGTTCATAGCCTCAAACACCTACATCAAAAAGACTGAAAGAGCACAAACTGACATTCTAAGGTCACACCTCAAGGAACTAGAGAAACAGGAACAAACCAAACGGAAGCCCAGCAGAAAAAGGGAAATAACCAAGATCAGAGCAGAACTAAATGAAATTGAAACAAAAAAAATACAAATGATAAATGAAACAAAAAGCTGGTTCTTTAAAAAGATAAATAAAATTGATAGACCATTAGCAAGACTAACCAAGGAGAAAAGGAGAGAAATCCAAATAATCTCAATGAGAAAAGAAACAGGAGATGTTACAACTGACTCCACAGAAATACAAAAGATTATTAAAGGCTACTATGAACACCTTTATGCACATAAACTAGAAAACCTAGAAGAGGTGTATAAATTCCTGGAAAAATACAACCCTGCTAGCTTAAATCTTGAACCCTGAACAGACGATAACAATTTCAGAAGTTAACATAGATCTATTCACAGTTTCAAGCTCTTCCTGATTCAGTCTTCAAAGATTGTTTGCTTTCAGGAATTTATCTATTTCCTTTATATTTTCTAATTTGTGTGGATAAAGTTGTTTATAGCATTCTCTGAGGATCTTTTGTATTACTGTAGGAACAATTGTAACGTAGCCTTTGTCATTTCTGATTGTTCTTATTTGGATATTCTCTTTCTTTTTCTTTGTTAGTGTAGGCAGTGATCTATCATCTTATTTACTTTTTCTAAGAACAAAACCTTGAAACGAAAGTTGATCTTATTTTTGCATCTCAATTTCATTAAGCTTTTCTCTAATTTTAATTATTTGTTTGCTTCTGCTCCCTTTGGAGTTGGTATATTATTTCTTTTCTAGTTCCTTTGTTGCAAAGTTAGATTGTTAATTTGAGATCTTTGTAACTTCTTGATGAAGACATTTAGGGCTAATAAATTTTCCTCTTAAGATTGCTTTGGCTGAATCCCAGAGATTTTGTTAAGAAGTTTTATCCTTATTTTAATTAATTTCAAAGAATTTTTTTTTATTTTTGCCTTAATTTTGATGTTTCCAGAGGAGCTATTCAGGAGTAAGCTGTTTAATTTCCAAAACTACAGTTTTGGAAAGTCTTCTTGGTATTAATTTTTATTTTTATTGCCCTGTGGTCTGAGAGTGTGTCTGGTATAATTTCATTTTTAAAAAATTTATTGAGGCTTGCTTTATGACTGAGCATATGATTGATCTTCAAATACATTCTGTGTGCAGATGAGAAGAATGTATATTCTGTGGTTGTTTGTTGGAGTGTTCTATAGATGTCTATTAGGTCCAATTGGTCAAGTGTCAAATTTAAGTTCAGCATTTCTTTGTTAGATTTTTGCCTTGATGATCTGTCTAATGCTATAAGTGACATGTTATATTCTCTGACTCTTATTGTGTGGTTGTCTAAGTCTTTTAGAAGGCCAAGAAGAAATTGTTTTATGAATCTAGTTGCTCCAATGTGGGGTACGTATATATTTAGAACAGTTAAGTCATCTTGTTGGATTGTTGAACTAAAATCTTTATTATTATTTAATACCCTTCTTTGTCTTTTTTTATTTTTATTTACTATTGCTGGTTAGCAAACCCTGCTCTTTTCTGTTTTGATTTGCACAATACGTCTATTTCTACCCCTTATTTTGAACGTGTGACTGTCTTTACAGGTTAGCTGCATTTTTTGTAGGAAGCAGATGGTTGGGTCTTTTTAAAAATCTAATTTTCCAATCTACATCTTTTAAGTGGAATATTTTGGCTGTTTACATACAAGGTTAATATTGATATGTGAGGTTTTCTTTCCATCATAATGCTGTCAGCTAGTTGCTTTGTAATCTCAGTTGTGTAATTGCATTATTGGATCTCTGAATATTTTATTTATGTGTGTTTTGTTTTCCATATTTAGAATTCATTGGAACATTTGTTTTAGGACCAGCATAATGGTGACAAAGTTCCTTAATGTTTACATGTCTGGGAAAGACTACTTCTTGTTTATGAAGATTAGTTTGACAGGATATAAAATTCTTGGCTTGAATTTTTTTTTTTTTTTTTCAGAAGACTAAAAATGGCCCTCAATCTCTTCTGGCTCTTAAGGTTTCTGCTGAGAATTTCACTCTTAATCTGATGGGATTCCCTTCATAGATGATTTGACTCTTCTCTTTATCTGCCTTTATGAATTTTTCTTCATCATTATCCTTGGATACTGTATTAGTTCATTTTACCCTGCCAAAATGGAATACCTGAGACAAAATAATTTATTTTCAGAAATAGGTTTGTTTGGCTTACGGTTCTGTAGTTGTACAAGCATGACACCAGCATCTGCACAGCTTCTGGTGAAGCCTCAGGGACCTTTTAATGATGGCTGAAGGGTTCCTTGTTGCTGTGCAATTGAGGTTCTCAAAAATGCCCCTCTGGTGGCTACCATTCAAATGGGCTCAGAGAAGAACTTCTCTCTGTCCAGAGCAGACAGCTGTGGCTTGTTTGCCCACCATTGCTGGGATGCCACCACTCTGTTTAAGGAGGAAGAGGCGGGCCCTGTTTTTTGTGCATGCCTGGGTGGTATGGCTCACTTACAACAGGGTGCAGCCACTGCAAAAAGCACTAGCGGGGCTAACTCCAAGGGTGCATGCATGAGACTGCAGGTGGGAAAGCCCCTGCTGTATCAACAACAGTGGACAGAAGGAGTGGGAAATCACCCCCCTCCCACCCCGTCTATTTCTTTTCCTGGCCCTGGGTGTTGCCCCCTTTAGTAATTGGCACCATTCCTGCATTTCTTTTGTCTCAAGGCTGCATTTTTCCATCTCCTGGGGTTGCATTTAGAAGACTGAATTTTCCCCTCTCCTGGCTGGGGGCCATGCCAAGGGCTAGATCTGTGGGGAACCCATGGACCTGCAAGTCCCCTGTAATTGACAAAATCAAAACAGGTTCTAGGGTATGTTTGCTGGAGATCTGTTAGTGCAGTGACATAAGAGCTGAGGTTCCCCAAGCAGGGCAGTGGCCCACAATGGGTGCACAACCAATATGGCAAGTGCCGTCTCAATTTGGGCCTGAGGGAAGTGCAGGTGCATTAGCACAGGCTGGCCACTCAGTGTCCTGACCCTCAGAAGCTCCCAAATTGCTTCGACAGGGTTGCCTGTTGTTGCAAAGGCATAAGGCCTCTGACAATTTGGTAATCAGCAATTTGTCACAAGAGTGAGGGGAGCAGAGAAGGACCCCTCACCAAAACCTTCTGTAGGACTCTGAGCTCCTCAAGTCAGTCTTTGCCAGAGGTTTGCTACTTTCTTCTTCTGTACCCTGGCTTCTTCCTGTGGGCTCTCTGACAGGTCCTGGCTCTATTTCCTCAGGTTTCCATTTGGATAATGACCATTCACCTGTAATTTTGATCTTCTTTCTGAGGAGAAATGACATTTAACATCTGTAGTGAGCCATCTTCGGTGGCTCAGCCTCAATTCAAATATTTAAAATGTCACTTTGGCCTCATAGAGTAGAATAAATTTTAGGAAGATAAAAATTGATGCAGCAAAATTAACTAGAAAACTTTGCCATGATCTTAAAGGGAAATAATTATAGCATGCCCTAGAATAATGGCAGTGGAGATGGTGAAGATCTCAAGAAACATTTAGGGAAATACAATGACTAGATTTTGGTAATTAATTGGAAGCAATAGTTTCCTTGGATAACTAGGTGTAGTCATTTACTTACATTGGAAGTGCAGACAGATGAGTAAGTTAGCGGGGTTGGGGGGGAATTAGTGAGTTCAGCTTGTGATGTGTTAAATTTGAGGTTAATGGGGCATTTAAATTGTGCCATCCAGTAATCAGTGAATATGTGGATTTGAGGTTGAAGAAAGAGCTCTGAGTTTTAGGTTTCAGAATGAATGATATTTTGTGATGAAATAATTTAAATATATTTTATTAAATATGACTAGAATAAAGTATAAGAGAGAAATTTGGTAGACACTAATGTTTAAGAGAAATGCAGAAGATGAAAAGCCTGCAAAAGACTTTGAGGAAGGGTAGCCAGATAGGTCAAAGGAAAACCAGAAAAAAAGCAACACTGAAGTTAGGGAAAAAATGGCATTCCCAGGAGTCAATAGTCAATAACTTTGGCTGCTTAAAAGAGGGCTACAGTGAATGAAGAACTGCTATGGATTAAGAGGGGGAAGTCCTTGGTGCCTTTAGTGCACTTTGCATTGAGTAAGAATTGAGGAATAAGAGAGGGATTGCATGCTTCTATTTGAAGACATTTGGTTTTAAAAGAAGAGCTGCACCACTGAAGAACAATAAAGGGTCTGGAGAGAGTATTTTATTTTTTAAATGAGAGAAGCTTGTGATACTTAAATGTTAATAGGATACTTCCATGGAAAAGGAGAGTTGTTGAATATAAAGGAAGGAGAATAATGAAAGAGCAATATTCCCAAGTAGAAATATAGTTTTTGTAGTTTTATTGTAATAATTCATATAATTGGTTAAAATGCCTCCAAGGAGGTAACCTCTTAAGCATCAATTATTTACTTCATTTAGACAGAATTTGATTAGCAAACTTTGACTCAAGGCACAAAAGAGTGGCAATATTTTTGGCCTTTTTGTTGCAGATTGAAATATGATTAAATGATTTCAAGACTGTTATCTCTTGTAGGCCAGCCTTCAATTTATTTTCACTGAAATATGTGTTTAGAATAGTTCTTTTACAGAAACATTTATAAAAAAATCAGAAGCATGGAATAAAAATTATTTGTGAATTCTTGTTTCTGGTTATGGTCTATTTAGAATCATAGGATAGTTTCTGAGACAGCAAGCATCTAAAGGACCAAGATTCCTAAAAGAAGGCAGTTATGAAGCATTGAAGTTCTTAGACTTAATTATTTTCCCCTGAAGCCATTAACCAACATTTTAAGCTTTGTGAGGCTAATAGAAAGCAAAAATAGAGTAGAATTTTTTGTTTGTGAGTTATTATGACTATTCATTTATTTTAGTAGCCTCAGACTGCTAAGGGGATAAATATTGGCGTTCAAGACCTACCTAAATGAAGTATTCTAGTAAAATTTCAAGACTTCCACTTGAGAAAGCTTAATTGAAGGAAAACATGATATAGTTTGAACTTTACAAATTCAGAAACACTACCTCCATTCAGCTCACTCGCTGTTTGAATTGAAGGGATCCTTCCATTTAGCTTTCAACCAGGGGATAAGGTAACTCTTCCCAAGAGGGAAATCATGTCATCTGAAACCTAAAAATGTTTCAAAAATTTTTCCATAAAAATTTTTCAATGAAAAATAAAAATTTTAGTTAAAAATACCATAAAACATATTAAAAATGGGGAAGGGATAATTAAAATCAAATAGTAAGATGGTAGATGTAAACATAATCAGCAATTATGTTAAATCTAATAGCTTGAAAACTCCAATTAAAGGGGAAAAATTCTCAGACTTTCTTAAAACAAATAAGTTGCATATTTCTTATAATAGAACAGTATAAATATAAGAGAACAGAAAGGTTGATATTAAAAGATATAAAAATATACACAATAAACACACATGCCAAAAGACAACTTATATGGATATACAAATGTTAGACAAAATTGACTTTATGTCAGAAAGGTTAAGAAAATGAAAAACAGATGTTCAAAAATAGGTGAGTTCACAAGTAAGATATAACAAATATAAACAAGTAGTCTCGTGATAAAAGAGTTTCAAAATGTATACAGCAAAAATTATCACAGCTAAAAAGAGATAGCCCAATTCACAATCTTAGTGAAAGATTAAAAAGTTTTCTCATTCTCTGATGAAAAATACACAAAAAATCTGTAGGAATAGAGAAAGCCTGAAAAACACCATTAAGAAATGAATAAAATAACAACAAAACACGATATAAAGAAAATAGAAATCATATTGCCTACAGTTCTCATGGCACATTTACTATAGTCTGCATCATAAATCAAGAATCAATAAATATCTTCTTTAAATTTTTAACTTTCATTTTAAGTTCAGGGTTACATGTGCAGGTTTGTTATACAGGTAAACTTGAGTCGTGGGGTTTGTTGTGCAGATTATTTCATAACCTAGGTACTAAGCCTAGTGCCCATTAGTTTTTTTTTTTTTTCCTGTTCCTCTCCCTCCTTCTACCCTCCGCCCTCTGATAAGCCCCAGTGCCTGTTATTCTTCTCTGTATGTCCATGTGTTCTCATCATTTACCTCCCGCTTGTAAGTGAGAACATGCGGCATTTGGTTTTCTGTCCCTGAGTCAGTTTGCTAAGGATAATAGCCTCTGGCTCCACCCATGTTCCTGCAAAGGACATGATACCATATTTTTAAGACAGCTCCATGGTTTATATGTACCACATTTTCTTTATTCAGTCTACCATTGATGGGCATTTAGGTTTATTCCATGCCTTTGCTGTTGTGAATAGTGCTCCAATGAACATATACGTGCATGTGTCTTTATGACAGAACAGTTTATATTCTTTGGGTATATACCTAGTAATGGGTTTCTGGGTTAAGTGCTATTTCTATTTTAGGTCCATGAGGAATCGCTACACTGTTTTCCACAGTGACTGAAAAAAATTGCATTCCCGCTAACAGTGTATAAATGCTTCTTTTTCTCCACAACATCACCAGCATCTGTTATTTTTTGACTTTTTAGTAATAGCCATTCTGACTGGTATAAGATGGTGTCTCATTGCATTTCTCTAATCATCAGTCATGCGGAGATTTTTTTGTATGATTGTTTGCTCCATGGATGTCTTCATTTGGAAAGAGTCTGTACATGTCCTTTGTCCACTTTTTAATGTGGTTACTTTTTTTTTTTTTGTAAATTGGTTTAAGTTCCTTACAGATGCTGGATATTAGACATTTGTCAGATGCGTAGTTTGCAAAAATTTTCTCCCATTCTGTATAGGCTGTTTACTCTGCCGATAGTTTCTTTTGTTTGTACTGAAGCTCTGTTGCTTTTGTTGCAATTGCTTTTGGCATCTTTGTGATGAAATTTTTGCCCATTCCTATGTCCAGAATGGTATCACCTAGGTTGCCTTCCAGGGTTTTTATAGTTTTGAGTTTTACATTTAAGTCTTTAATCCATCTTGAGTTGGTTTTTGTATATGGTGTAAGAAAGAGGTCTAGTTTCAATATTCTGCATATGGCTGGCTGATTATCCCAACACCATTTATCGAATAGGAAGTCTTCTTCCTATTGCCTGTTTTTGTCAGTTTTGTCAAAGATCAGACAGTTGCAGGTGTACTGCCTTATTTCGGGGTTCTCTACATACCTGTGTCATGCTGTTTTGGTTACTGTAGCCCTGTAGTAAAGTTTGAAGTTGGGTAGAGTGTTGCCACCAGCTTTGCTCTTTTTGCTTAGGATTGCCTTGGCTATACGGGGGCCTTTTTAGTTCCATATGAATTTTAAAATAGTTTTTCTTAGTTCTATGAAGAATATCATTGGTAGTTTAGTAGCAATAGCATTGAATCTATAAATTGCTTTGGGCAGTATGGCCATTTTAATGATATTGAAGAATCAATGAATTTTATAGTACTGAATCAATTCAGAGTTACACTCTAACCACATGAAATTAATATGGATATAAAAATAATCAATAAAATCTCCAAACATTTTGAAATTGAATAGTAATTTCTATTAAATAACTCATAGATTAGAAAATGAATCACAATTAAAATCAGAAAAAAATATTTTAAATTGAAAAATATTAAATGAACCATCCAAAAGTTATTGTAAACTTTAGAGTCTCAATTTGTATATTAGTGATGACTGAAAAATTATGTGTACATCTCAGGAATCAAAATGCATACCAATCTCTACTTAACACAAGTAAAATTAAAGACAAATTAAATATAATAGCAGAAATTGACTAACCAGAAAACAGAAGTACAATAAAAAATAATGATAAAATATGGTTCTTCAAAAAGTCTATTAATATTTATAAAAAAATGAGTGATATCTGAATTTACTAATAGTAGCAATTGAAATGTGACACCACTATGGTGCCTTCAAATGTAAAACAGATAATAAAGAATGTTAAAATAACTTATGTAATGATATAGAAAATCTAAATAGTCCTACATCTATTAAAGAGATTGAATCTGAAATAAAATCTTACCACAGGAATGTCCAGATGGCTTTCAGAGTAAATTCTTCTAAACATTTGCGGAAGAAATAAGAAATAACACAAATTGTTCCAGAAGAAAACTAAGGGTTGGGGGCACCTCCAGGCTCATTACATAAAGCCAGTATAACTTTGCTACCAAAACATTACTAATAGGAAAGGAAAACTATATAGTAATTCCGATCATCATTATAGATGATATAAAACCTAATTAAAACAAGTAGAATTCAGAGATATTCAAAGAGAATAACATGTAATTCCCAAACTGACATTATTCTAGTAATGCAAGTGTAGTTTAATATTTGGAAATCAATGAATGTAATTAACTATATTAATAAACAAAACAAAAAAATTAAATGACAATCTCATACATGTAGATATATATTTCATAAAAAATTATAACAGAAACTCATATGATGTATATCTAAGAACTTTTTATTCTGATAAGGAATATCTTAAATAATTATATAGAAAATGTGATATTTTATAATGAATTTCACATTGAAATTGACAATGAGACAAGGTTGTTCACTGTTCACTTCTACTTAGCATATGTTTTGGGAAATCCAGCAACAAAAGAGAGTGAAGAAGATGAAATATAATTGCATCTGTTTTCAGATGACATAGTTATATACTCAAAAAATCCAAAATAGTCAATAAACTACTAAAATTTAGAAGCAAATTTTTAAAAATTGATAGAATCAAATTTTATATAAATATTCCATCAATAATTCCATCAGAAAATATAAGTATTACTACTAAACATCAAAGAATATCTAAATAAGCAGAGGATATATTAAATTTATGAATTGGATGATTCAATTTTCAAAAGATGCCGGCACTCTTCATAATTATCTACTGTTCCATGCATGTTTCAAAATTCATGTAAATTTATGGGATACAAGTGAAATTCTGTTACATGCATCGATTGTATTACAGTGAAGTCAGTGCTTTTAGGGTATCCATCATTCAAATAATGTATGTTGTACACATTAAGTAATTTCTCATTATCCATCCCTTCTCCCACCCCCACACCCTTCTGAGTCTTCATTGTCTATCATTCCACACTCTAGACTCATGTGTAAACATTATTTAGCTCTGACTTGTGAGAACATGAAATATTTATATTTCTGTGTCTGACTTGTTTCACTTGAGATAATGGTCTCCAGTTCCATTCATGTTGCTGCAAAAGACGATTCCATTTTTCATGGGAGAATAGTATTCCATGGTGTATGTGTACCATCTTTTCTTTATCTAACCATCAATTGATGAACACTTAAGTTGATTCCATATATTTGCTATTGTAAATAGTGCTGTGAAATTTATACAAATGCAGATTTTTTAATATAATAATTTCTTTTTCTTTGAGTTGATAGATTCTAGCAAGATTTCTGGATCAAATGGTAGGTTTATTTTTAATTATTTGAGAAATTGCCATAGTGTTTTACATAGAGGTTGCACGAATTTACATTCCCATCAGCACTGTTTAAGAGTTTTCTTTTTTCCACACCCTTGCCAAGGTGTTACTTTTGTCTTTTTACTAATAGCCATTATGACTGGGGTAAGATGATATCTTGTTGCGGTTTTAATTTGCACTTATCTGATGATAGTGATGGTGAGCATTTTTTCACATACCTGTTGACAATTTGCATGTCTTTTTTTTCAAAAATACCTATTCATATACTTTGCCCACTTTTTAATGGGATTAACTGTTAATTTTTGTTGTTGAATTGAGTTCTGTATATATTCTGCATATAAGACCCTTGTTGGATGCACATTTTTAAAATATTTTCTCCCATTCTGCAGGTTGTTTGTTCACTCTCTTGATCATTTCTTTTGCTGTGTGGAAGCTTTTTAGCTTAATTATGTACCATTTGTCTATTTTTGTTTTTGTTGCTTGTGCTTTTGGGGTCTTAGTCATGAATTCTTTGTTAAAATATGACATTTTCTTTCTTCTGCTTTCCTTTCCTGTTTACTCCCCTTTTCCCTTTCCTTCCCTTCCCTTCCCTTTCCTTTCTTCCCATTCCCTTTCCTTTCTTCTCCTTTCCTTTCCTTTTTTTTCTTCTCCCTTCTTTCTTTATTGAATTGACAGGCTGATTCCCAAATATATGCTAGAATTCAAAGGGGCAAGTGTAAGCCAAAGTAATTTTAAGAACAACAAAGTGAAGGCTAAAACTACTATGTATTATATATTATGAAGTGACAGTATTTAAGACTATGTAATATTCTGCATGGGAGACAATTTCAGAAACATTCACATGTATATAGTTACTTGATTTATGATATTAATGATTGTTTAGTGCAGAAAGTAAGTGGTTAGCTTTACAAAATAATGTTGGGACAATTGAATATATATATGTGTGTGTGTGTGTGTGTGTGTGTGTGTGTGTGTTTTGCCTTACCATACACAAAAATTAAATCTAGATGGATTCTATATCTAATTGCAAAAGTTGAAACAGTAAAACCTTATATGTGAATGTGGGAGTATATTTATGACATTGTAGTAGCCAAAGATATTTTAAAATAAGACATATAAGGAATTAAACATAAGAGAAAGACTGATACATTGTAATTCATTAAAATTAATAATATTATTAAAAGTCATCAAAATGAGAGTGGAAATTTAAGCCATATTGGGAGAAGGCATTTTAGCGTATTCATCTAAAAGTATTATTATGTGAAATGTACAAAGAACTTCTAAAGTTCAATAAAACAGATAACAACCTAAAAGGAAAAAGAATAATTGAACTGATTACTTCATAAAAATATCAATTCTAATGATCAATAAACACATTGCCAGGTGTTCCACCTTATTAATAATTATGGAAATAAAAATTGAAATCACAATTAGATGTCATTACCCTCATTAGAACACCTAATTATAAAGCGTGCAAAAAATATTAAGTATTGGCAAAGACATAAACTGAAACTTGCATATTTGTATTGTGGTTTACTGATGTGAGCATAATGTACTCCAATAACTTTCGGAAACTGAATGAGTTTACAAAGCTGAATGTACATTAGCCTATGAAAATTGTGTGTGTGTGTGTGTGTGTGTGTGTGTGTGTGTGTGTGTGTCTGTGTGCATATACCTTTACAACATGGTATCCCTTTCGATTGCTGGTAATGTTCCTGATTCAGGTACTAGTTATTCTCATCAAAGTATAAAAGTTAGAGTTTCTGTATTTTTCTTTATTAATTACATATTACTTTTCTAGTGCTGCCATGACAAATTACCCCCAACTAGATAACTTTAATAACATAAATGTATTATCTTACATTCCAGAGGGCCAGAAATCTGAAACAAAGAGTTCTGCAGGTTTAGCTCATTCTGGAGGCTTCAAGGTAGAATCTGTTGTATGCCTCTCTCCCTAGAGTCTAAGGGCAGCCAGCAATTCTTGGCATCCCTTGGCTTATAGATGCATCACTTCAATGTCTGACTCTCTCTTCACATGTCCACTTGTCTATGTTTGCATGTTCTTTTCTGTCTATTGTAAGGACACTCTTACTGGACTTGAAGCCCAGTTCAATCCAATATGAACTCATCTTGATCCTTTAGTTACATTTGTAGAAGTACTATTCCAAATAACGTCACATTCTGTGATTGAGGTGAATATAAATTTTGGGGGGCTACTGTTAAACTTGTTACAGTTATTTTTCAATAAGCTGGTTGCATACAAAATATATGCTGTTAAAATCACATATAATAATATGTTAATCAAGTGATTAATGCTTATTCTTGGTGGTGCATAAGTTTTAGCTAAGTTTGTTCTATGGGAAAATAGTATTGACCCTGGATTCCTTTTTATTACCAGTAAAAATAATAAATTAGCATATATTTTGTAATGATACAAGTATATTTATGTATATATATGTATATTTGTAATAATATATTTATATTTTGTAACAATAGAAATATATGTGTGTATGTATACAATACATATGCATGTTTCTATTGCATTGGAGTTTTTTTTGTCATCTGTGCTACACGTTGCTTATTTTCCCTTGAACTTGATAGAAAAGATTTAAAATTTTAATATGACAAAATGGCAAACCAAAACAAAATGTATTTTGTGGATATTGATTTATAAAAATAACTACATTTCTAAGCTTAAAATCAGTGACCATATGATTAATTGAGGTCATTATACTTTTATAATTTTATACATTAATATACTATGGAACTGTGATAAAGTTGAAATTTGAAAACAAATTAAAAAAACTTCATTTCCTATATTGGTACATCATTTAAAACTTTACCCCAAACACATTTTGGATTAAAGACAATAATCACATAAAGGTATAATTGCAGCTTTCTCACTTATAAAAACGGATTTTTTACACTCTAAAGACAGTTTTGGATTTAGTCCTCACCTTTCCAAAGACCAGTTCCTTTCTTATTTTACATGCAATATGTTCATTAAGATTTTCTATATGGCATATTGGAATAAAGAATTCTATCTTTATTTAATCCGTACAGCTTTTAAAACTAAATCTCAATTTCTAAATTAAGAAATGAGTGCTTTAGCATTGCCTGTTTATATGCATACCAAAATGGCTTATCTTGGTTTTATGATGTTGTTTGTAAGCTCTGGAGATACTAATGCTAATTTCATCTTTGTTACATTCTTGGATAATCTGTTCTGAGGCTTAGTGTATTGCTGACATACAATGTTCAGATTTTATTTTTCCTTAGTGGACCTGTTGTTTAGTCTTGCTATCGCTAAAGCTTGTTATCATTTATCCCGCTCATTCAGCTGCAAGGTTCAATCCCTGTCCATGATGCTCTCTAATGCCCAATGTCAGTACTTTCTGGCAACTTTTTGTTTTTGTTTATTGGTATAAGCTCTTTTTCCCCTTTGGGAAGATAATAGTTGGTCTTATGGTAAGAATCATTTCAAGTTCTTTTCTCATTTTGAAAATATAATATAGTTTAGCCTTTATATATACAGAGAAAAAGAATGTAATGGTATTTTCCAGTAATAATATTGTTAACATGGGAAACTAATTGGAGAAAACTGTTGGAAAACAAGCCTAGTCAATGTAGAGGTACAGCGATGTATTAAACAAAATCAGCATAGCCAACAGAAAATAGGTGTTACAAAACAGAACATTAGCCTTTCACATAGTCTAGGAGCATTATTAAACAGTGAATGATCTCAGAAAATCAACACCTCCAGTGATATGAGGATCAATTAATAAGGGTAAATAAAATAGGACTGTAGACTTCCTACCATCCTAAAACATATGGATTAACAAATATTATTTGTTAAAAGAGCATGATTCAGATAGAGAAAAACCTTCCATTCTTCACCATGTATATGTAATGCAACAAGAGATCAAAGACAGTTTATGTGTACTCTTCCATATCACCTTGGCACTCACTCTTCCATGCATTCAGAAAATCTTGCTACTGAAAGCACCTGGAACTCTCCCCCTGATGACTTTGCCAGAAGCACTTACCTAGAAAGCAGGCTGGAAATGCTGAGCAAGTGGATGCCCAGGGAGCAGCTCTTATCCAATGACAGTGTAAAAGAAAAATTACAGCAGCTTCCTTGCCTCATAAATAGGACAACTTATAAGTACATTCTACCTGAGGGTTATTCCAATTCCACACCCTAAAAGCAGTCATATTAGCTGAGGGCTTCTTAGAAATCCAAGTGGCATCTCTTGGACTTACAGAATTGGAATATCTGGTGGATGAGCTTCAGGATCTGATTTAAGTGAATCTTTAGATAGCCCCTACATATGCTAAAATTTGGGAAGCATTATTTTACACTAGGAGCCAAAAAGCTTTTAGATTATGTTTCTTATTGAAGCTGAGGCAAACCACCACAAATATAAGTTGATAAAAACAACACAAATTTATTATCTTACCGGTCTCGGGGGCAGAAGTCCAACATCATTCTCATTTGGCTGAAATCAGACTGTCAGTAGAGCTGGTTACTTCTGGAGGTTCTAGGATGGGCCCTGTTTCCTTGCCTTTGCCAAATTCTATTATTTGAATTGTGATCCTTTATCTATCTTCAAAACCAGCAGCGTAGTGTTTTATCTCCTTTACTGACTCTATTTTTGTGTTCATATTGCCTTCCTCTGTCTGACTCCCTTCCTCCCTCTGACAGGGACTCTGCGACTGTATTGGACACATAGAATAATCTAGGATAATCTCTCTGTCTCAAGATCTTCAAATGAATCGCAGCTGTAACGTCCCTTTTGCCAGGGAAGGCAATATATTCACAGATTCTGAGGATTAGGAATGAGACCTCCTTGGAGCCATTGTTTAACCTTTCATAGGCTGGATAATATGTAAGTACTATCTGCCAAGAGGCAAAATTGAGGCTATTGTACAGTCACTTTATGTAAAAAGACAGAAAACTCATGCCCTGCTTCATTTTCCTGGGGTGTGTCTTCCCACGTGGTGGGCCTGCTTTGGCCCAGCTGGAAAAATTTTCCAGAGGAAGAACAATCAACCAGAGAGAGGGAATACCTGGGGGTGGGAAATGGTGGCTGCTTCTCCACCTATCAGTTTTATTCTGTGCTCCAGGAATACCCAGATCTTTGTGCTTCTTTCTTTCCTGAAGAGTTTTGCAAACTCAATTTGGGCAGCTGGACAGTGATCAGGCAACTTTCCGAGTCCCTGACTCCCACCTAGACTGAGATTCCAATGCTAGGTGCCCAGAAGTTTCCAACCAATGCAAAGGTGGCAGCTGGCAAGGGCCCTGTGCAGCAGTAAGGCGAGTCATAGACTGATGAGGCAAGTGCTGGGAGAAACAGGCAAGTGCTGGGAGAAACGGGCAAATGGGGATGTCTTAGCTTGCTTTCCGTAACTCACAGTGCTAGACTGCTAGGGAGCGGTGCCCTTTGTGCATGGGGGCTACATAAACAGGCAATGTGCCAGGCGTGACCTGAAAGCTGTGGTTTGCTGATATCAATTCTACCATTTCCCAGAGATCACCATTGGGAATGAGCTCCATTTGCCCACAACAGTGATCGGCTGATGGCTCCACCCTCTACTTAGTCGCTTCTGTTTCCTGTCCCATGGATTCCTCACCCCACACTAATGCTTCCAGGAACAACTTCTCAAATAAATCACTTGCACGTAAGTCCTGTTTTCAGGAGCACTTCTCAGTTAACACAGCCAGGACCAGAGATAGTAGAAATGTTTTAGGAAGTCAATTCTATTTGATTTCTCATTAATATCAGGCCTTGAGTAGATAGAAAGGTACATGCTTTTTCTACTTATTCTCCCATTGGTTTGTTGTTTATTTGTTATGATGGTGTTGGGTATAGATGGAAGAGTATAGTAATATTAATAAGGTAGAAATCCATGGATGATCTCTAAATGAAGCAAATGATAGAGGAGAAAATTATCTAGGAATATAAGAAAATTGATAATAGAAAAATACCATTCAGCTCTGCAAATTGTTGTTTGGACCTCTAATATTTGAAAATCATTCTAGAAGAATAAAGAGTTTGTCATATTTTTGCCCGCTTGCCAGGGTGTTTTCTAAATCCCCGGTAGCCAGTGCTCTGCTGAAGGTCTGAATAATGTTTCTCTAACACAAACTTAAAATGCAAGTTTAAAGTCAGAAAAACTGTTCTTTTTCAGTTATTTGAAAGGAAGGACCATTTAAAAAATGCCTTCAGGTTTATAAAAAAAGTATTTGTCCTTTCCTGGGGCAAAATAAGAATAAGGTGCCAGAAATGGAACATTCAGAAGGATAATGCATATATGTCAGTTAGGTCTTAATCTGTTTTGGTTAGAATACGAGATCTAAACTTTTAATCTGATATTAAGAGACACTATTTTTCACAAATACGTGGCTAATGTAACAAGTGCACACATTTTAGAATTTTAACTAATCAAGCTAATAGTTTTCACAACATATCCTTTTCTAATATTATAATTACAAGGAAAAATTTCATGTAGTGCGATTGTCACCAGCGAGATTCCAATTTAACCATAATAACATTAGTGAGTAACAGGGCATGGAAATGAGCTCTATAAACCGGCAGCATAAGGAAAAGATTTTATACCCACACTCTATTTGGAATGTGATCACTACTGTCTTAGTGCTTCTGTGATTGCTCAATTTCTCAGGTAAAAGTATACTTAACATGTTAAAACAATTAACATTTAAAGTAAAAAAGTCAAGCTTATATAGAGTAAGTTGGAGTTTGAGGCAAGTATTCAGTAATTCATGTTCCCTTTATCTACCCTCTGATGTATACATAACTACAAATAAATGAATGAAACCTATTGTGTCAATTAATAGTATATATTATAGAAACTAAAATGTCTGTTTATCCATTTTATTGAAGTTACTCAATTGTCCCAGATTTTTAGTATGCTTTTTATATGCAAGTATAAAGATTAAAGTTAGATTAAATATAGATTTACATAGAAACCTACAATACAGGGGTTTATGTAGGTAAGAGTAATCATGTAGTGATAGAAGTAAATATATTTATTAACTGTAATAACTTCTGAACAACTGACCACAAAGTAATTCCCAAAGTGGTGAACACTTCCACTATTTCTGAAACCTATACAATCTAAGAGAGGTAGCTTTAGTATCATATTCACTGTTATAATATTATTGACTATTTGTAAAATAAACGGAACATTGGTTTTATAAATCAAACCATAAATACTACTGAAGTGTACTAAATTTTGGCCTGTGGTAAGTTGCCAATTAAGGATTAACATATCTGTGTATCTCAATAGAGCAGAAACAGTTGAACTTTGAAAAATTTATGAGTGTGTAAGCTATTTACACCTTTAAAACTGGTAATGAGTAAGAAAACAATTGGGAAACACTCCTTTAAGGACTAAATTTTTAAAAGAAACCAGAGATTGCAGCTTGTCCGAAAAGCATGGGTGACTTACTATCATGATGACATTTTTGTAGTTTCTTCATGACCAAGTATTAGATTATAATGGCATGTGTCTCCTTCCACAAAATGTGGTACACTATTGGTGAACAGCTACTATATCTGTTGTTTTCATTACAACTTCAAATTATCTGACAAAATAACTGTATAAAGAATAGTTCCAAACCAACATTATTTTAAACCTCACTTCTGAACACAATGTCTATCAATACTCAGCTTTCTCTAACATTTTTCACATAGGAATTCCAATTAGAGAGAGCACAGCTAAGCTATATCTTATTTTAAAAGAGAATTTTATTGCCTGTATTTATGTTAAAAATGGGACTGCTGGGAGGCCAGGAGGGCAGATCACCTGTGGTCAGGAGTTTGAGACCAGCCTGGCCAACATGGTGAAAACCCATCTCTACTAAAAATACAAAAATTAGCCGGGTATGGTGGCAGGCACAGGTAATCCCAGATATTCAGGAGGCTGAGGCAGGAGAATCGCTTGAACTGGGAAGCAGAGGTTGCAGTGAGCTGAGATCGCGCCATTGCACTCCCAACCTGGGCGACAAGAGCAAAACTCCGTCTAAAAAAAAAAAAAAAAAAAAAAAAAAAAACAGGACTGCTAATGTCTCTATATTAATTCTATATGGTTTTAGGTAAAATTAATATAATATTTAGGTATAATTAACATACAATAACATTCATTTATTTAAATTTTTCAAAACTTGACAAGTTTGCTAATGTATACATCCCATACAATAATTACCACATTCAAGATATTGAATATATTCATAATCTACATATCTACAAAAGTTTCTCTGTGCCCTGTGGTAATCACAGTTTCCTACCTACCATGCTAGTACCAACTTTCCCAGGCAACAACTGATCTTAATTGTCATCATTGATTAAATTGAAAGTTCTGCCTGTGGGATGTCTGCAAAGCTGGGTGTAGCTGACCTGCACCTCCTAGGGCTGGCTCTCTGGAACAAGACATGGCTGGGGGTCCCAGCCCCCGAGGCTGGTCTTGCTCTGACATGGTTGCCATACCTGAGAGAGGAAAGTGACTCAAGTTCTGGGCCTACGATGCCTGCTCCAGACTAGTGACTGTGGCAGATTATGCCAGCCCAGATCTGGCAATCATGAGGTCTGGATGAGTCAAGAAGGAAGTCACTAATGCTATTTAGCAGGAAGTAAAACCTATTTGTGGCTTAAAAGCCTTCCAGATTCCTTTAGAGGAAGCTTTTTTTTTTTTTTTCTGGGACAGGTGAACACTGTGACATCATCAACAGCAGTGATGAGATGGATCCAGCTTAGGAGGAAAACATCCATGAGAGAACTTGTCTCTAGAAAAAAGAAAAGAAAAAGGAAACAGGAGACCTAGACGGGGCTGGAACAACATAGTGTCCCATGGATATTTTACTATTTCCCGCCTCCTACGTCTGTCCTGAGGATATTGTGAAATTTTTCTTCATTTGTAAAAATGCCTGGACTGTCACTTGTACTGCTGCCTTTTGGATCAGGTTATATCAAAAGCATTACATGCTGAATGCTTTTCAGCCTTTGCACCTGTGACCACAGTCAATGGGGAAGCTGCAGTCTCTGGGCATATGTGATCCAGTCTCTGTACTGTATAAGTGATTTGTGGCTCAACTCTCCAAGAATCCAGCCATTGCAGAAGCCACTCCCAGCACATTAAAGAATTCCAAATGCTTACTTTTCTGGTGCAGAATGGGCCCAGAGAAGAACCGATGTGGGAAATCAACTTCAAGTTCAAAAAACAGGCCCCTACGTTAAAGAGCAATGTACGGGAGGATTGCAGTCTCTCTTTCAGTATGAAGATGTTCACACCAACTCAGTCCAGGTGTGCTGCCTATTGTAGGTCACCACCCTCAATTTCATCTTTATCTCTTATCTCTCTCTCTTATCCTTCTGGGGTTTCCACATGATAGCCTGCTTGATGGTACCTCATTCTCTTAGTCATTGTTCACTTGGGTTCAATCTTTTTTCCTTCTATCCCTCAGACTTCATCATTTCTATTGTCTCATCTTCAAGTTTACTGATTCTTTTTTCATTATGCTTAGATCTGCCTTTGAGTCCTTCTAGTGAATTTTTTAGTTATTGTACTTCTTGGCTCTAGAATTACTTCTTGGTTCCTTTTTAGGCTTTCTAATATTTTATTAATATTTCCCTTTTGTTCATGCATAGTTTTCTTGACTTTATGTCTTAGTTCTTTGAGCATCTTTAAGATTGTTGTTTTAATGTCTGCATTTTAGATCTTCTCTCAGTTCTTTTTTAGGGAAAGTTTGGTTGTTGTTGTTGTTTTGTTTGTTTTGTTTTGTTTTCCTTTGAATGGGCCATACTTTCCTATTTCTTTGTATGACCGGTAATTTTTTTTTTTTTTTCTGAGATGGAGTCTCACTCTGTCACCCAGGCTAGAGTGCAGTGGTGTGATCTTGGCTCACTGCAACCTCTGTGTCCTGGGTTCAAGTGATTCCCCTGCCTCAGCCTCCCGAGTAGCTGGGACTATAGGTGTGTGCCACCACGCCTGGCTAATTTTTTGTATTTTAGTACAGACAGGGTTTCACCATGTTGGCCAGGATAGTCTCAATCTCCTGACCTTGTGATCTGCCTGCCTCGGCCTCCCAAAGTGCTGGGATTACAGGCGTGAGCTACCATGCCTGGAAGACATGTAATTTTTTTAAATCAAAACTGGACATTTTAATTGAATAATGTAATAGTTCTGCAAATAAGATTCTCATTCTTCCTCAGGATTTGCTCTGTCTTTTGTTATGGTGGCTTTGTTTGGATTTTTGTAGGTCATTTCTGTTATAAGGATAAGCCTAAGGTGTAAACTTAAGGTCTCCTCAGGTCTTTTTAGAGCATACATCATCTGCTGGGCGTGCACAATGACTTCTTAATTTCCTCATACATGTGGTTGATTTTGGATGTTCTAGTCTTTAATATCTGGCTCTCAAAGGGGAAAAAGTAAAATGAAGAATGGAGCTACTGAACTTTGAGATCTACTGGATGTCACTTCAGGTGTAGGGTGAAGGACTTGCAACCATGCGACTGGGAAGTGCAGTAGTCTCTGCCTGCCTCCATGTCTGCACATCTGTGATTATATGCAGTAAACAAAACACAGATTCCTAATGTTTGGTGGACAGGATTCTTATCATCCACCCCAGCTATGTGCAGGGTTTTCAAGAAACACATGCACAGCTGTTGGCATGAAGCTAGGAGTTGGGAGAAGAGTAATCAATACTGAGCTAAGAGCCAAAATTAACTGCAATTTACATCCAAGCCTTCTGAAATTTATAATTGTTCAATAGACTGTAGAGTTCCGAAATATGTCAAGCAAAGTGATTCTGCCAGTGCAATTGTTGACTAGGTGGGGACAGAGATTTCTGGTGCTCCGTACTCCAACATTTTTCTGGAATCCTCTTCTAAATAGGTAATTATCTTTTAAAAAGAATTAAACAATAACAAAAAATTGTATATTCATCCATAGAGTCACCATTTCTGATGCCACTCATTCCTTTTTGTAAATCATTTAGTATTATTTTTCTTCTTTCTGCAGGAGCTCTGGACATTAATATTTTGGTTCATGTGTGTCTAATAGTGACAATAATTTGAGCTTTTGTATGTATATTTAAGACTTTATTCTACCTTTGTTTTTGAAATATTTTTTCCTTACCATAAAATTCTAGGTTAACAACTCTTTAGAACCTTTAGTGAATTGCTTAAGTGCCATTTTACTTACATTGTTGCTGATGAAAAATCTGCTGCCTTCCTTCTGTCTGTACATTGGTAAATATTATATTTTCTCTGTTGGCTTCTAGGATTTCCCCTTTAATACTGGTTTTGAACAATTTGATTAAGATTTAATTTTGAATAGTTATTTTATGTTTTTGTACTTTGGTTTTTTGAACTCTTTAGATCTGTGGAATACATAATTTAGACTTTGTAAATTTTCCAGATATTATTTCTTCAAATTTATTTTTTGCCCCTTTACTCTGCCTCATTTGTTTTTTCAAATTATACATATGTTAGGTAAATTGATGTTGCCACATGACCTACTTATATTCTTTCATTCTTTTTTTTTCCCCTGTCAAGGGCTTATAAGAAAACTTCCACTATTTTTAATAGTTTTTTTTCACTGTTTTATTTTGAATCTTTTATAAAGAAATAAAAAATTGTCTTTGATTTCATGAATATGTTTATTTGCAATAACATGTTTATATAAGTTTATTTGCAATATCTAATCTGAAATTAATCTGATCCAATGCATTTTTATCTCAACTATTCAAATTTTTTCTCCAACAAGTTTAATTGGGGTTATTTTTATATATCTTCAATATCTCTAATTTGAACAAATGAAAGATAGTTTTAATAACTATTTTATAGACATTGACTGCTCATTCTAGTACCTGTGTCAGTCTTGGATCAGTTTCAATTGATGGGTTTTCTTCCTCATTATAGGATGTGATTTTCTGCTGCTGCATGGCTGATAACTTTTGACCTATTAGTACGCATTTTAAATTTTACTTTGTTGAGTCATGGATTTTTTTATTTCTATAAATATTCTTGAGTTTTGTTCTGAGGCTCTGATAATTTACTTAGAAAGTGTTTGATTTTGTTTTTTGGCCTTATTTTAAACATTTATTAGGTGAGAAAATAACAGCATTTATTTTATTGCTATTTCTATTAAGATCCCTCTGAGTACTCTACCCAATTTCTTGTAAATTATGGGCCTGTTGGTCTGTTTTAATAAATTTTTATTCAGATCACTTCTCTCTGGTATAAGTTATAACTTATTCTTTATACTGAGATTGTTTTCTCATTTTCTGTAATTTCTTCGCTTGCCTAAGTCAAAAATCGTTGCATTTACTTTAATATTGCTATTTCTGTTGTTACATTTTCAAATATGAGTCTATTTCTTATGTTTTCATATGCTTTTTTGAATGTATTTAAATTTTCTTCATTTATGATTGGTACAATTTTCTTCTCCTTTGTGATTACTTTGTGCAAAGAATTATATTACCTCAAATGTTTTGATTTTTCTTATCTAGTTTACTTTACTGTAATTTTTTATGGAGTTGGTCTGATGTTTCCTATTCCTAACCATTTCATGGACAAGTTCCTACTTTAAGATTACATTCTTTCATCAATGTATTTAAATATGTTTCATTAATAGATAAAGGTTATGGTGATGGGAGTGGTAAATTTTCTCAGCTGGAATACTTTGATTGTTATTTTCTATTCTCTTGTTAAGGTAAATTTTTTATGAAAATTATCTGACATTTTTATTCCTAGGCAGGTAATGGACATATTTTTTATTTAAAAATACCGTCTTTTGTTAGTATAGTAAAATGTAACTTTTTAAAATAATATGACAGTATTTGTTGTTGTTTTATCTTTTCAATATAACTTTTTAATTTTTGTTTACTGTCTTATCTTAAATGGCAACTTACCCTTCTCTAGTTATCTCATTTCTCTGCAGAGAAATGTTCTTCCAGGCTTTCTGTCTTCAGTCCCACTAACTTCTAAGTTTCATCCCTAGACCAAGTGATAGGCACTACCAATTTCCAGACTTTTGATTACTAATTTGACTTTTTCTGAGGACATCTATGCCTGTGCTTTGACTTTAGTTTCTACAATCCTCCTGTATTCTCTCCTAAGCCTCCTGTAAGAGGGCGGCTGAGGACTGTCTCCCAAAAACACATATCCACATGAAGCCTATGAAGGTAACCTTGTTTGAAACAGGATCTTTGCAGGTATAATCATGTTAAGATGAAGTAAAACTGGATCGAGGGCCCACCTAAATGGGCCATAAATCCAATATTACTAGTGTTTTTAAGAAGAGGGAAATTGGACACAGGACCACAGGGGAGAACACTGTGTGAAGATGGAGGCAAAGATTGGAGAGATGCGTCTGTGAGCCAATCCATCCCCAAAACGGCTGGAAACCACCAGAAGCTAGGAGAGAAACATGAAATAGATTTTCTCTTAGAGTCTCCAGTAAAAACTAACCTTACCAATTTCAGCTTTCTGGCCTCTGAATTGTGAAAGAGTACATTTCTGTTGGTTTAGGCCACTTCATTTGTGGTGATTTGTTCTGCCAGCACTGGGAAACGAATACAACTCCTCTCCTTCACTCTTCATGTCCATAAACTTGTTTCTGAAGCAGGAGCTTCACTTGTAGATCTATTGGAAGATGTTTATTTCAGAAATTATAACAGTAGGTTCAAGGAATTCTCTACCTCCTAGCAATGGTAAATGTTTATAGCATGTGAAGTTATTTATTTGCATGGAGTTTGGAAAGTCTGGGCAGTGTAGGCTCACATAGACACAGTTTACCTGGAGACATTGCTTTTTTAAAAATTATTTATTTATTATTATTATACTTTAAGTTTTAGGGTACATGTGCACAATGTGCAGGTTAGTTACATATGTATACACGTGCCATGCTGGTGCACTGCACCCACTAACTCATCATCTAGCATTAGGTATATCTCCCAGTGCTATCCCTCCCCCCTCCCCCCACCCCACAACAGTCCCCAGAGTGTGATGTTCCCCTTCCTGTGTCCATGTGTTCTCATTGTTCAATTCCCACCTATGAGTGAGAATATGTGGTGTTTGGTTTTTTGTTCTTGTGATAGTTTACTGAGAATGATGATTTCCAATTTCATCCATGTCCCTACAAAGGACATGAACTCATCATTTTTTTACGGCTGCATAATATTCCATGGTGTATATGTGCCACATTTTCTTAATCCAGTCTATCATTGTTGGACATTTGGGTTGGTTCCAAGTCTTTGCTATTGTGAATCATGGCACAATAAAAATGCGTGTGCATGTGTCTTTATAGCAGCATGATTTATAGTCCTTTAGGTATATACCCAGTAATGGGATGGCTGGGTCAAATGTGGATCTAATTAAACTAAAGAGCTTCTGCACAGCAAAAGAAACTACCATCAGAGTGAACAGGCAACCTACAAAATGGGAGAAAATTTTCACAACCTACTCATCTGACAAAGGGCTAATATCCACAATCTACAATGAACTCAAACAAATATACAAGAAAAAAACAAACAACCCCATCAAAAAGTGGGTGAAGGACATGAACAGACACTTCTCAAAAGAAGACATTTATGCAGCCAAAAAACACATGAAAAAATGCTCACCATCACTGGCCATCAGAGAAATGCAAATCAAAACCACAATGAGATACCATTTCACACCAGTTAGAATGGCTATCATTAAAAAGTCAGGAAACAGCAGGTGCTGGAGAGCATGTGGAGAAATAGGAACACTTTTACACTGTTGGTGGGGCTGTAAACTAGTTCAACCATTGTGGAAGTCAGTGTGGTGATTCCTCAGGGATCTAGAACTAGAAATACCATTTGACACAGCCATCCCATTACTGGGTATATACCCAAAGGACATTGCTTTTTATTGCTCTTTTAAGAAGTGTCCAAGGATGACCATGAAAAAGGAAGAATTTTTCAGAGAACAGAGCTAATGGCTAATGAATATGTCAGAATTGAGGACTATCTTTAGGAGAAAATAATGGCCTAATCAAGATTTCCTATGATCATTTTAGATTTTTAAACTGTGTTCTGCATAAGTTTCAGAATTTCTATGAATCATTGACTACTAGAAGCGTCTCATCTTCCCTTTTCCTAAAATAAATGCTTACTGTGGCTGATCTGTATATCTTCACTCTTGTAGCTTAGTATATAGTGAGAAAGTAACATTTTTTTAGTATATCATTGTTGTTATTTGTATTATTTTATACAATAGATTTCTAGATGATATGAATTATATTCAGACCTGAAGAGAGGACAGAAAAATTCTGGACTTCAAACTCAATGCAATGATTGGATAAGACTTTCGGAGTAACTTCTTTTGGGATTGCGTAAGAGATCAAGACTACAGACTTTGGTAGATTTTACCGCCCCAATTATTTGCTTTTTATAAAAGGATAATACATTATTTCCCATTGGCAAGTGAATTATAGTGCCTTACCAATTATAAGAAAAGAAAATGTCTGTTAATTTTGAGCATAGATAGCCATGTGATGTTTTTGGTCATTTGGATGTAAGCTGGTGTAATTAACATATCTGAGTAGTAAACATAACTGCAAGCTTCTATCAGCTATCTTTTTTTCTGTGTGTTTTTTTTAACCATTCTAATAACAGGGATGGTGTAAATGGAAGTTATTTATTTAACTACAGTCCAAAAGGGATAGACACATGGAGCAGAACAGCAGCTGCAGACATAAAGCTTCTGATGACTCATGTTTTATGCCACTGAATTTGAGAGCTGTTTGTTACCAAAGCGAAGCTGTCTGTTACAACCTTCAGAAACTTAACAAATGTAACAACAATTACAAAACTAAATAGATTTAATGGCTGGCAGTGATTGATGTGTGGAATGAAATTGTGTAAATTCACTCATCTTTCACAACTTTGCTAGAATACCTATTTTTATGTTAAAACATTAAGTTAAAAATAGAACATATGACTGCAATCATTTAATACTTATTCTTAATCCTTTTCTTATTTGTAGTATAATCAACATTTATCAGAAGTTTGGCAAATACATGTTCATTGTAATGTGACTTAGTAACGAATTGTATCATGATTCAGAGTTCTTTTTACATTATTGATTCTGGGCTATCATTGTATCATGCTCCAGGCAATAAAATACAAAGGAAATGAGAATATGTCAGTTCTGAATTCAGGCCTTATATGGTATTGAATACTTCTGCCGGTTTTCTTGAGCTCATGGCACCAATATGAGAACAAGCCCAGGATAGCCTGCTGGAGGATGACAGACTGGGACATTAGAGCCAGCTTACACTTACTTGCAAGAACCAATTATGCACATCTGTTCCCAACTCACATTTAGTGACATCTTATTGGTAAATTGAAATTACTTCAAGGCTGAGTATACGTCTGCTGTTGTGGATCAAAATATTTTCTAAATTTCATGTCTTCGTATTATGATCTTAGTTAGTTCAGTGAATTTTTCAACATCTGAAGGCCCTGAATTTCTAAAATCTCTCTCTTTTTTCTTTTATTTCTGCTTGCAAAATGGCTACTTTTATCTGAGCTTGTCTGTTTCTTTCAATACAGTTCCTAAAGAAACTACTAGCAACTGAAACAATACTCTGAAACTAATATTCTGTTTTCCAATCTTTAGATCTAAAAGTTTCTTAGGTAATCAATCCTTCTAAATTATTTAAAACCACAATTTTAGGAGATATTTTACCAATGTAAATTTCACCAATTTTTAACTTCTAATTCAAGTTTTATTTTAAAGTCTGCTGAATTTAAAAGCAGATGCCAATGCAACTTACTTTTTAAGGCAGCACTCTACTTTTGATACCATAAACAGGGGTTCATTCTATATTGCCTTTCCTGAATAATATAACCTGATGTAAACTCCACTGTCTGCAGAGATGTAGGTTGTTGTGGCTGTGGAAAGGAGACATAGCAAACTGTGCCTCACTTCTTAGAGGTTTTTATTCTAAAAATAAAAACAAGACTTCATATAGGCCTGATGTGGCACAGAGTAATCCTACAATTTTCTTTAGAAAGGGGAGAAGCAAAAATCTAAGGATAACATTAATCATTACCATGGTAATAGAAGGGCAAGTACACAAAATAGAAATAATACCATGATTAAAGGAAGACAAAGATGTGGCAGTTACTGAAGAAAGTGTTCATTAGTTTTCTAGTGCAGAGTGCAAGTTTGGGTTTGAAAAGGCAGCCAGCATTTGGATGGCTGCCACAGAGACAATATCAACGGCCAGTTAGTCTTACCAAGAGCATCAAGGACAAAGAAGAGGGAAGTACAGCAGCTCCCACATAATCACATGTTCCCTTCCTTGTCAACAGAGGTAAAAACAACCTAGATTCGTGAGAAGAGGAAGAGTAAAAGAACTGCAGCTTTCCTCCCACTCTTAAGGTAGATATCTGGCTAGATTTTGGGGATATAAGGAGGTGACCATTAAATGGATGCATTTGATTGATGCTTTAAGGTTGGCCACACTTTTATTTATAACTGAAGTAACCAGAAAATTAGAAACGTATGCAAGATATGTACTATTAGGAAATTGAAAGAGGTCTTTAAAAATATGACTGTAGGTAGTGTTTGGATACAAATAAAATATATACAATCAGTTCTAATTATTTGTGGTAGTTGTGTTCTAGAAAGTTACCACAAACATTGAGTTTTCAAATAGAGAACCATTGCTCCTAAGGAAAATACAGAATTAGGTTCCTGAAAGCCTCTGATCATAGCATTTTAATTAACTTATCAGTGCATAACTGTGTTTTATGTGTGTGTTTTTAAGGACATCATATTTAATTTGTAATTGATCCATTAGCATTAAACCCACAGCCAGTATCACTCTAAGTCATGCCTGCATGCAGCTTATCGAACACGTATTTTCTCACAAAGGCACATCATGATTTTTTATACTTGGGAACACTAGACATCACATTAGCATTATGCTTGGAGGTCATTTTTAAACAGCAATATCAACAACGAAAAGTACTTTGTAACTGAAATGACCAGAAAGTTAGAAATGTGTGTAAAAAATGTGCTATTGTGGAAATGAAAGAGGTCTTAAATATATGGCTGAAGCCAGTGTTTTGATACAAATAAAATAGATACACTCAATATGTAAATATGTAAAGATTTAATGTATACAATGTGTAAAAAAATGTGACACCAAATAGACTGAAAAAGAAAAAACAACATTTTCTTGCAGTATGTGACTAAAACAACAAGGTGGAATGTCTCCTTGTTTGACGTAGGCAGGGGACATGTACCTGGGGCAACTCAAATATTTTGCTACTCTGTGCATGCCTCTGAATGATCATGAACACATTGGGTATCATTGATCTTTGCAAAGTTTTAGAGCAGGCTTCAGAATGGTAAATGTTTTTTAACTGAGTGTGAAATTGGAATTTGTTAGCCACATGAGTATATGATAAAGGTCCATCTAGCCAGAGAGAATATTATATAGAAAGACAGAGAAGCAGAAATGAATATGGTATTTATTGAGGATTGTAAGAGATCTGAAAGGTATTAAAGTGCAAGATCATAGATGATGAGTGTACCACGTTAAAACTTTTGTCTAGGAATAAAGGAGATACCATCAGATTGTTTTGAGCAGAGAAGGAGAGTTGATTGTACATATATTCTTATTTTAGAAAATGCATTCTGGAAACACTGTGGAGGATACACTAAAGTGATATGACAGGAGAAAGGATGACTGAGGCTCCTCCAATTTGTAGGTGAAAAATTTTGAGTCTTCTTTGATTCCAAGATTTTATGGCATAGAGTCCAAGACTCTAAGAAATACTGTGAGAGAGGAGCAAAAAAGATAATTCTGTGGTTGGGGTAGGGACTTCTAACTTGGAGTTTAAGAAGAACAACTTTGAAAAAATAATATTTAATTAATTTTGAACAACTGATAAATGTATATGGTTCAAAAATAGAAAAAAATTGCAAAAGGGTACAAAAAGTTAAAACATGTCTCTTTTACTTAAAGTCCTCCCACTATGCAGAACCTCGTGGTGGAGGACAAATTTTTTTTTTTTTTTTTTGGAGAGCACAATTTTTTACTTTTTTATGCAAATTGCTATGCAGAGGAATCTAGAAAAAGCACGGCATTTGGGAGCAACATTGATGGGTTTTCTGGATTTGGAGATGAAATACAGTGCATTTATAAAGACCTTAGAAGACAATATTGATTGAATGAAATCATAGAGAGAAATTGTGAGGAGACCCAGCATTAGACAAAAACTGTCAATTACAAATTTAGTTAGAAGTTCTGTTACATGATCACAATATTATTATCTTTTGAATCATGAGTTTTAAATATACTGAAGAGTAGAAATTATATCAATTGATCTCAGAAGTGTATTCTTAATTTTACTTCACTGTTAGAAACGTTTTTTAATATCTAATGAAAATCTCCATCTATTAATTTTATCACAGTGATTTGTTTTAGTAGGAAAAGGATTATAGAAGACTACAAGAAAACAAAAGCAAATAGTAAAAAGAAATTAATAAAATACAACTTTGAATTTCACAGTTATTTCTGATTGTTTCCAAAGCTTTTGGGGTTTTTAACAAACTCAACTGAAATAGTTCTACAGTCTCATGAAGTAGAGGCAGGCATTATAATCTCTATATTAAAGCTGGGAACCTTGAGGCACAAAGTCATTTAAGTGATATGTCCAAGGTCACTGAGCAAGTCACTGGTGAAGCCAAAAATAGAATCCCAATTCTTCAGTTAGTCCTTTGTTCAGGAGACCATATTGGTTCTTTTATTACTCTGAAGAGAAAATTTAGCTTTATATCAGAGGATTTTTTTTTTCTTATACACCAACCTAAAAAATCAACATTTAAAAAGACTATTGAAAGGATATTAAATCAAATCATATTTCATGCTTGAGATTTTCAAGTTACTCTTAGAAAAGTGTTTTCTTGTTGTTTAAGAGAAAAATATCCTTGGTAGTTTTTCACTGTTATTATCTCAATTCATAAAACTTTTCACCCTCCCCTAAATATTTAATGGCTCTATTTAACAATGAATATGTTCTGGTTTCTGCACAAGGAAATGCAAGCCATAGTAATTGGCTTTGCCCTCAGACAGCTGAGTCAGCATGAAATCTAGCAGCCTATAGAAACCTTTTTATTTGCTATCAGTTTTTCAGAGTCTCAAGCCATTGAAATATATTGAAAAAATATGGGAGGCAACTAAACCATGCAAATTAACCTTACATCTGCTTTATAGGACTCTTGAACCTCTAGATTTGTAATTCCTTATCTGTGGCTGCTCAAACAATTTTCTGGTTCATAATGCTGTCAGTGCAATGGTAGGAAAGGAAAGTGGATTATAGTTTCCAGTACATATTTGTCTAAAAGTACTTGTATTTTTCCAGTCATGAAAATAATCTTTTTCCCCTCTTGTGAGAATGTTGGACAACTAGAAATTCTACTTTTTGAGCTTCCTATTTACACATGTAGATTTTATGAAAAATAACTTTATAAAGTACAAATTTGTTAAATATTTTTAAAGAAATATATGTTCACGTACACTAAATAGGACTATAGATGTGTTTATCTTTCTTTATATGTATACACAAACACACAGATAAGAGCTCATATGTATTTATGTTTATATATACTTTATAGTATTCTATAAGTGTGTGTTATTAAAATATAATGAAAGATAAAATTTATGGAGCAATTACCTTAGGCTAGGCACTCTATGAAAACCTTTACATATAATATTTATTCTCATAACCTTATGAAGTGACTATTATTATAATTTTCTCCATTTACTTAATGAGGAAACTGAGACAGTAGGAGCATAAGCCAATTGCCCAAAGTTGCATAGCTTCTATATGGCAGAGCAGGAATATAAGTAAAGGCAGTCTAGCTTCCCTACACTGTGTAGGAATAGGAATTATTTTTGGACATGTGAGTATAATAAAATATAAAATCTAGAATTTTAATAAAAACCTAATCCATAAACTGAGATCCAGAGAAAAAAAAATACTTTTCACTAGTTCTACAGCTAGCCAGTTCCCAATCCTGGAGTATGACTCAGGCAGTATTCCATTATAGCTTTCTTGGAGTTATTATCAATGGATGATGTCAAAAGTTGCAAACCAGTCAAAAATGATCTTTTGCGGAAATTATGCAACAGATACCTGTATTAGTCCTTTCTCACGCTGCTACAAAGAACTACCTGAGACTGGGTAATTTATGAAGAAAAGAGGTTTAATTGACTCACACTTCTGAAAGCCATATGGGAAGCATGGCTGGGAGGCCTCCAGAAACATACCATCATCAGAAGGTGAAAGGGAAGTAAGCACTTCTTCAGGTGGCAGAGAGCGAGAGAGAGAGAGAGAGAGAGAGAGAGAGAGAGCACAAAGTGGGAGGTGCTACACACTTTTAAACCACCAGATCTCATGAGAACTCAGTATCATGAGAATAGGAAGGGGGAAGTCTGCCCCCATGATCCAATCACCTCCCACCAGGTCCATCCCCCAACATGGGGAATTACAATCTGATGTAAGATTTGGGTGGAGACACAGAGCCAAACCAATATCCAATTTTTCTAATGAAATATTTTGCTAACATGACATTTTTCACCTGAGATCTTTAAAAGCTTAGAGAAAGTATTTTTCACTTGTTTAAGTTTCTATTGATATATAGCTTAAAATTTTTTCCCCATGTATAGGACATTCATACATCCTCCTGACTGGTATTCAACAACATTTTTCCATTCCCATTTACTAGTCAAACTCCTTATCTCAAATTTTTAATCAAATGTCTCTTGTTAGATAATTAGATCTGTGAAAAGCTACATGCAATGGAATGTCTTAGTATTTATCTCAGAAGAACTTTTTGCTGGATTTGACACTCTGGATTACTCTTCCCTTCTTCACTTTTCTTTGAACTTGACTCTATCTTATTCTGATTCAACTTGTAACTTCTTAACTCTGCCTCCTCTCATTTCTCTATGAGAAGTTCTTTAACAAATGTTGATTTTTCTCAATGTTCATTCAGACTGTAGACTTCTACTTTTCTTACTCTATAAACCCCCCATGGTTAAGGATGATCACATCTCCTATAATACACATATTTGGATAACTGTATGCAACTGTGTGTGTGTGTGCGTGCGTGTGTGCATGCACCTGTGCATGTGCATGTGTACACAGGTGTATAAAAGAGAGAAAGCCGTAGTTTCAGAATCCATTTGTGTATTATACCTTCTCAACTCAACTACCCATGACGGCAGATACAAAACACTTAATTACAGTGGTCAGAGATAACCCTATAGAGACAAAACACATAGCCCAAGAGCTGAAGCCTGAGAAGGATCCAGTTATGTGAATATATTTGGAATCATTTTGTTTAAGTTTTATGTTTTCATAGCTATACTCAGATGCCACCTTTTTAATGAAATTTTCTCCTAAATAACAGGTCACAAAAAGAACAGATTCAAGAACTTCTTTGGTCTATTTTAGTTGCTGGAATCATCTGACTTTCCCATTTAAGACTTTGACTTGCTTGCTACACATTAAACTATTCAATGTCTTCTTAATTCTCCTGGGCAGGATATACATCTTTTCCTTGCTGGACTGTAAGAACTATTTTTTGTTGTTGTTGTTTGGGAATTTTAACACATCATGCTGATAAGGTGTTCATTTCTGTGCAGCTCCTCTAGGCATTTTGAACATCTTGGTTTGGATTCATGTCTTAGCTGACCTTTAGCTGATGACTTTTATAGTGTATTATTCTAATGCCCATATCTCTTTTCTCCCTTCACTCCCCAAATCTGGATGTGAAATGACCAAACTCTCTTTCAGTTTTGTCTGTCCTTCTATGATGATGGATCCCTGCAGAATGCTTCTCTTATTCACTTAAAGGAGCTGATTCTAGCTCCCTTTATGTCTTGCCGCTGTCTATCTCCCTCTGTTCTCCAAATTCTCCTTTTTATTTTTCTGTTTAGCACAGGAGCATATCATTAAGTCCTCTTTCTAGGCAGATGCATAAACAAAGAATAAGAATTATTTTTTTCTCATGAACAGACACTTCTCAAAAGAAGACATTTATGCAGCCAAAAAACACATGAAAAAATGCTCACCATCACTGGCCGTCAGAGAAATGCAAATCAAAATCACAATGAGATACCATCTCACACCAGTTAGAATGGCAATCATTAAAAAGTCAGGAAACAGCAGGTGCTGGAGAGGATGTGGAAAAATAGGAACACTTTTACACTGTTGGTGGGACTGTAAACTAGTTCAACCATTGTGGAAGTCAGTGTGGCGATTCCTCAGGGATCTAGAACTAGAAATACCATTTGACCCAGCCATCCCATTACTGGGCATATACCCAAAGGACTATAAATCATGCTGCTATAAAGACACATGCACACGTATGTTTATTGCGGCACTATTCACAATAGCAAAGACTTGGAAACAACCCAAACGTCCAACAATGATAGACTGGATTAAGAAAATGTGGCACATATACACCATGGAATACTATGCAGTCCTAAAAAATGATGAGTTCATGTCCTTTGTAGGGACATGGATGAAATTGGAAATCATCATTCTCAGTAAACTATCGCAAGAACAAAAACCCAAACACCGCATATTCTCACTCATAGGTGGGAATTGAACAATGAGAACACATGGACACAGGAAGGGAAACATCACACTCTGGGGACTGTTGTGGGGTGGGGGGAGGGGGGAGGGATAGCTTTAGGAGATATACCTAATGCTAAATGACGAGTTAGTGGGTGCAGCACACCAACATGGCACATGTATACATATGTAACTAACCTGCACATTGTGCACATGTACCCTAAAACTTAAAGTATAATAATAATAAAATAAAAAAATAAATAAAATAAAAATAAATTATTGGAAATAAAAAAAAAGAATTATTTTTTTCTTCTACCAGTCTTTACAGAGGAATCTCACAGAGCCCCTTTCCATGTCTTCTAAGTGATGGCTCACTTTCCATGAACAGGGAACTCTCTGAAATGTCAGCTAGCCTTGTTTTCTGATTTTCATCCCACAGTAATCAATAAGGATAAGTAGAGATGACACAGTCCATTCCCTGACTTATACCTCTCAATTATTTTGATGGTTTGCATCTCTCTCATGAAGTACTTAAGGCTCTATAGCATCAGCTTAAGCCATGATTTTAGAACAGTGGAAGAAATCATCAACATCTTGTTACATTTTGATCGGTTGAAGGATAACTCATGGGAAAGGAACTAGTAGTTTCAAAGACCTTGAAGTAGGAAATTCACTTGAAATGTTAATAAAGACTCTGAGTTCATTTTTGATGTCTGAGTGCTGACAGTGTTCAACCCCTACCACTCTCCTTTCTCCTCTACTTCACAGATGGTCAAGCTGATCAGAAAGACTAGGTGCTCTCTTCTTTGGCAAGGGCAGGAATTTCAAACCATGCAAGCCCTATCTCATTCATGAGAACCCTCACCCTAGACCCATCTACTAATCATAATAAAAGTCAAGCCAATCTCCTTTCTCTGCTTTCTTAAGACACTGTTTTTGGACCTGTGTGGGAGGTTGCCCTGCCTGTTGTAGAAAGCTTCTTTATGTTAGTTATAAAGCGTTTCATAACCTGTTGATGTAGATGTGGCATAATCAGTTACAAACCTTAACCAAAAGTTAGGTGTGTGGAGATCCATCCAACTTCTGTGGGGTGTGAGAAGGATGTCCAAACAATGACCAGTATCACCGCAATCTGTAAGGGGGTTGTCTTTCTTCCAGTGCTTGCTAATTGGTTTTGTTGCCTGCTGGCAAGCATGCACACGGAGCTGTTGGCTGCTGGCTAGTGTTAGCTTTGAGCCCTGCTGTTCTGTGCATAAGTTATTCTTATAGATTTTTGTTTGTTTGTTTGTTTGTATTTTTGGTTATTTCCAAGTTAACATTTTTTTTCAACATTTTTAATTTTTGTAAAAAATTTACTTCAATCTCTGGGATACAAGCACAGAACATGCAGGTTTACTACATAGGTATACATGTGCCATGGTGGTTTGCTATACCTATCAACCCGTCATCTAGGTTTTAAGACCCACATGCATTAGCTATTTGTCCTAATGCTCTCCCTTCCCTCAATCCCCACCCCCCATCTGACCCTGGTGTATGTTGGTCCCCTCCCCGTGTCCATGTGTTCTCATTGTTCAACCTCTGCTTATGAGTAAGAACATGTGGTGTTTGATTTTCTGTTCCTGTATTCATTTGCTAAATATGATGGTTTCCAGCTTCATCCATGTCCCTACAAAGGACATGATCTCATTTCTTTTTATGGTTGCACAGTATTCTATGGTGTATATGTACCATATTTTGTTTATCCAGTCTATCATTGATGGGCATTTGGGTTGAATTCCATGTTTTTGCTGTTGTAAATAGTGCCGCAATAAAACATGTACATATGTCTTATAGTAGAATGATTTATAATCCTTTGGGCATATACCCAGTAATGGGATTGCTGAGTCAAATGATATTACTGGTTCTAGATCCTTAAGGAATTGCCACACTGTCTTCCACAATGGTTGAACTAATTTACATTTCCACCAACAGTGTAAAGATTTAACTGACCCAGGTTGAAAGTTTTGATAATACACATTTAAAGAGAGTAGTATGGAATTAGAACTCTCCTAAAATGACTGTAGTCCCTGTGTCTTGGCTGGGAAATATCTGTGTGTCTCAAGTCCAGCATAAACCGTGACTAACAGTAGGCACAAGGGAATGACTCTTTCCCTGTAATAATTGATTGTGTCTCAACCTGGCACTGACTCCCATTCTATCGAATGCTCAGGAGAAAGAATGAAGGCCCATTGGTAGTAGTGTGTAACCTGTGGAGGGCCACACTCCTAAGTAGACGATGTGCCTTAGGCCCTTTTGCCTCTGTTGCAAAAAATAGACATAAAAGTAAAAAATCTTTATACTCAGGGATATAGGAAAAAACACCGATGACACACTTGTGACAAAGCAAAGGGGTCAATTCAAGCCTGACTTCAGCTATGAGCCCTTAAAACCCACAAAGCTACCATTGCCTTGAGGGAGGTCCTGAATACTTACATACTGATCTGAAACTCTCTGGAGGAAGACATTTATAAATATCAGGAGGATATAGAAAAATTCCTCAAATTATATCTGGTAATTACCTAAAAACAAAAAACTGAAACAAAGGTCTACAACTTGGTCCAATTCAAAATCTGAAACTGACTAAAAGAATGTATACGACAAATAGATAGAAGGGTGCTGATTAAATTTTATGCCTCTATAATGTAGGTTTTCAATTAACTTTAAAATCTGATTAAATTCACCAATTGGCAAATATTCATGACCTTTATAAATACGAAAGCTCAAATTTCAGTTGTTACCTGGAGATCTCACTATTTTAAAATAAAGTATCCCTTTACTCTTAGAAGAGCTAGCAAATATAAAACAGGAAAAATAGGTATGCTTCACCTTAACCATTAGAAGTATCACTTTTCTAAACTCCCTATAATCCTAGTAAGCATAAACCTAAAATATCCCTGGGTGAGCCTAAATACTGTCAATTAACAAGTAATGAATTAAATAGTGTTTTGCATTTACAATCAGATTTATAAAATGAGACCTCTTCGACCTTATTCCTCAGTTTCTCAGATTTTGGGCTTGAGAAACAGATGACTGAGCAATGAGTTTAACAATGCCTTTTTTAAAAATTCTGTCTCTGGCACTCAACATCACTCACAAGCTCAGGACGATGAAAGGGGAAGCACAGAAACATGCCATTGATGGAAGAGCTGAGGTCAGTAAGAGTAAAGGGATTTTGTTTTTAGTCTCTTGATTCATCTTTTAGCATTATCATTTCAACCATGGAGAACCTTACCCTTGCTGTAAGGGTACTATTACCTTGCTGTAATAGTTCCAGGAAATTTTGTGTGGATGAGGCATGGATCGGTGAGGAGAAAATTTTAGGTAGCAAGTGAGATCTGCTGTTGGCAGGAGTAAGGGAGAAGAATGAGAATTCCCAAGAATATTAGGAAAGTGAAGGATTCTCTGTTTGAATTTATTTGTACAAAGAATAATTCTTGAATGAGGGGCCTTAGGCTGTTATAACTTTGTTCTCTGCCTAAAGGCAGGTCATAATATTTGGGGAAATTTATGTTTTTGTTCAGCTGTCCTGTCTGTGCTCAAACTTTCTTTATTCTAAATCATTTGAGACTCAGTTTGATGAATTTAAAGTGAAAAACGTTTACTTAAAAAACGCAGTGCTAAAAGATACGTACAAAAGAAATAATTATCTATAGAGTAAGATTAAGGTATCTGCTTTAATGCATTCTTTAATTTATTCATAATTTTATAGCATTGGGATGCATTTTTATGAAAACAGCTTTATGTTTCTTGTCCATTTCAAAGTTCTAAAGATTAAAATATTAAATGATCTTTTTAGAGTAACTGTTTTTTGATCAATAAGTATTAATAGTAGAACAAATAAAGATCATTTTTTAAAAATATGTGTTTAATTTTACAGATAATGTTTCTCAAATAGATAATCTTATTAATTTTGTTTTTGTGTTCTTAAAATAACATATGCACATGATTTTGTTGTTAGTTACTAAAAAAATTTAATTAATGTCTGTTATGTTTCCATGTCAGTAAAAAAAAAAAAAAAATAGAATATGCGAGGACACAGGGAGAAGAATATTTAGTAAAATAGCATGATGGACTATGATCTATATTCTCAAAGTACTTTTAAATTTTTCCCCTATTTCCCCAGGGATGCTAGATATTCATAAATAGTGTGCATACTTTTGCATAGCCATTATATTTTAATAAAATATTATTGTCTGTTTTTGTCATATGCCTGTGGACATTGTAAAAAACAAATATTATTTATTTCTTCTTTTTGTATCTCTAATGCTAACCTTGGGCCTGCTAAATGATGGGATCAGCAAATATTTGATAGATAAGTGTTTAGTTAATATGAACCAAGAGCCTATAAAGTGAAAAGATATAAAAGTATGTAAGAAAGAAGAAATTAAAAAAATGGTTCACATAGAGTTTTGTTTTAAAAGCATTATTACATTTATCTCCTTTGATAAGGTATAAATATGAAGTCTAGGTCATTTCGAGTTGGAGAAGCCCCAGCTACTTCATAAGTGTGATGCTAGTTTTGAATGTGCATTGAGGGACAGCTGGTGTTGAGAAAAAAGGAAATTACCTTAATACCAATAATTTCAGCACAGATTGTCATGTGGTTGGGAAAATATTTGATATGAAGACATTGAATCCACCTTCTAAAGAATAACAAGATATATTCATGAATGGAAGGATTTGGTAGGGTACATGAGGACAGATATAAAACTGCACAACCAATGTTACACAAAGGTACGTGAATCAAATAAACAATAAAAGATAAAAAACTTTACTTTTTCTTACAAACTAATTAATTAGACTAATAATCAAGGCTCTCTGTCAATTGATTCTATGTAGCTTATATGATATTATTTTACAACTTAAACACTTTATTTTACCTAAGTCAATCTCCAAATTACATTGGAAAAGATTGAAGACTTATTGCACACGCATCTGTGTATTCATTCACATATTAGCGGTATACAGTGACTCTTTACTCTGTTAGATGTTATTTTAGGCTCTGAGGTTATACTGGTGTATAACACAGATACAGTTCTTATGCCCATGGGATTCACAGTTCAGTAGAAGAACCAAAATGTTTTTAAAAATTACACGGATATGTTCCTAACTGTGATTTTGTTTTTCGGAATGCAGTGAGAATTTAAATAAATAGAAGGCACTGCATTTGGGGTTAATTTATGTTTCAGCAAAGGCTTTCCAGAAGAAGAGACATTAAGCAAAAACCTGAAGTATGAACATGGTTTAGACAGGAGAAGTTGAAGAGAATGTGTGTGACAGTCTGGAGATGAGGATATTCTGAGCGTGTTCAACAGAATGAATGCCAAAGTAGCTCAGTTACAATGAAGGTAGTTGAGATGGCTTGAAAGGACCTCAGAGAGCTGGGTAGCAAATAGATCATACAGGGTGATGAAGGGCATGCAAAGAATTTCTTTATTCTAAGTCTTTAATAATACTCTGGCCACCGCCTGAAATGCCTTTCCTTTGTTCCTCTGTCTGTGCTAATTCTCCATATCCTTTAATGCGTATTACTTGGAACCTAATCATAGTGGCTAATATTTATTACATGCTTATCATATGCCAGCCTCATCCTAGGTGTGAATTGTTTCATATATAGCATCTAATTTATTTTCCACCTGTATTATACACAGGAGGTTTATTCTTCTTCACAAGAAAGTGATGTGTAGAGATATTCACTGAATTATTGAAGATTATATGTGGCAGAGTCAGCTTGGGGATCCAGGTTGTCTAATCCAAAGATTGTTTAACCAGTAAGCCATACTGACTCTTTTAAAAGAAATTTCATTCCACTAATCTATGCTCTCTTTCTAAAAATCTAACCAAAACTTGTTATTTTTAGTTTTTCAAACATTTATTGATATGTGTGGCCACAGTATGTACCCAGGACCTGGTGTTCAGTTCTGCCATGGAGGCATTATAAAAACAGTACTCACACCAGACAACTTTTGCTAATATGGAGAGCTAGGTTCACAGAAGGCATTCAATTAATATTTTGAGAGTCAGTGTCTCAGTGATCAAATTTGCGACTAATCTGTTGTTCAGCTTTGTTATGACCATCCAAGGGCATAGTGTGCCTGAGTCCCTTCAGACCAAGCTGGGCCACAAAAAGCAACAAGTGTTTGTTCTACATGTGTCAAAATTCTCAGTGTTGCTCCAGGGACCCTACTACACCTCCCAATGAAGGGAAGAGTGACTCAAGAGTGCGTGGCTCTTCATTTAATACAAATATCCACTGGTGCTCAATTTTCCACCAAGCAAATGTAATAAGCATAGGAATAGGTAGAACTCAGAATTCTAATCACCTTTTTCTCTTTCGAGCATGCCCAAATACTCAGTAATAATACCAATTAATTATATATCAATTTATGAATTGGGATAATGGTATTTTGGTTCAAATTTGCTAAAAAATTACAAGTAATTTTGGTGAAATTCCCCATGCTCTAGTTTGGTTATCATTATTATCAAGGGAGAATCTATTATATGTTAACAAATTCTTAAATAAAGGAGCTCTTTCAAATAAAAAATCATATTTATTAGAGTAATAGAAACGATTTAACCATTAATTAATAATATCTGGAGACTCCCGAATTGATATTTTCCTTCAGTTCTTGGAATGGATTATAAGCGAGGAAGCTTAATTAACAGAAACATATGGTATATATTTTCCTGTCTATTATCATTGGTATTGAGAGAACATAAGGAAGAAAATCCATAGTTTATTCAAAAGCACAGTTCTCTGAACTAAGATGGTGGTAATTTATATCAGGTGAGGAATATTTAAGAGAAGATAATTTGACATTCAATGTCCCCAAACAGGTCTTCCATTAAATATAGTAGAGATATTGTCCAGAGAATTGATTCTGTGCACCACCAATACATAGTTATTTAAAAATTGCTTTATTTTTAGTGTATTTGTGGACATATTCTGGTCTTCTGGATTTCTTTCATCTTTTATACTGAAGTGTTTACTTCCTTACTTTTCCACTTACAACTCTTATAATGTAGTTTTTTTAATATTTAAATATTAGAGTAACAGTATCATAGCCTTCTTTCATGAAGAAAAATAAAAACATAAACAATTTAAACATTGTCTAATTTGTGAGAGCATTATATTAGTAATACACATTGAAATCTGAGTTCTCTGCAGGTATTAGGTATTAGGGTTAGAGTGACACAAGTTTGCAGTTCTCAACCACTAAATTGCCTTGCCTGCAGCTATAATGTGTAGCAGTTTGGGGGATGAAACACATACACATATCTGACTGTCTATTATTGTCTCTGTATTTGTGCAATGAGATAGAATTCTTAGGGCTTTTTTGGCTATTTGAATGATGAATATAGTTTCCCTGATATGGTCATTGCATCATTCACTATTTCTCAGAAAGTTGCATTTATGTATAACTTCTCTAAATCTAGCTTGGCTTGGTTAACTTTTACTCTTGTCCTCTTTGTGTTGTACTCTTTCCCCTCTATCTAGAGAAACAAGGTCAAGGCATGTTCTTCGATGCTTGTTCATTAACAGCTCTGCGGGTGATGCTCCTAGAGAGGTCTGATGTGTTGTGTGATGTTCTCACACAAACTATGTTAATTTTTGATCAGTGATTGTGAGTTTTAATTGTGTTGAGGTAACTAGAGATTTGTTAAGTGGACGTTACTTCAAAAAGGTAAGTTGAAGCAGTAAATGTTAAAACCAAGGAATCCCCCAAATTCTTGCCCTTTATTTTTTGCATGTTAATTCCAGAAAAGAAAAAAAAAAAAGCTTGTGGGTTAACGTGGTATTTATGCAAGGCTGCCAATGTAAATATAATTCTGTGATTTAATTTTTTACTGGCATGACATTATATATATGTATAAAATGTGCATACATAATATATACATATGTATATATGTTATATATTAGATGTGTATGCATATATAATATATATTAGATGTATAAAATATATTACATATATAATAAAATATTAGATATGTATTATATAGTAGTATATATAAAATATATACATATCTAATAATACATTATAGATCATGTATTAATATATACATATATCTAGTATATACAATATATACATATCTATTATATTTATACACACATACATATACATATGTGTATGTGTATGTCTGTGCCTGTGTGTCTTTTTGTCTTGCAAGCTCAATCTTTAAAAAGAAGAGTTCGAGGAGGGATGGAGAAGGAAGAGAGTGATTATATATACATATACTGTCCATGTTTGCTTAGCTAGTATGAAGCAGAATCTGGATTCAAATTCAAGAAGTCTGATTCCCAAACAGCCACCCAATTAGGACCGCTTTGAAAACTCCGAGTCTTCTATTTGATATAAGTATAGCTCATTGCCATGGAAATAAACATATGTTTCTTTTTTAAATTAAAAAAAATATTTTTATTTTGTTTTCAACATTTAGCATTTTTTTGCATCAAAGTTCTAAGTAGCTGCATGTCTGTTTATAATGTGTATATTTGTTGTTTGTTTTTCTGTTTTGTTTCTGTATAGTTTCTTTGTTTGTATCACTGGTAATTTAATCCCTCATGCTATGCTGTGGGATTATGTACAACAACACAACTTCTTAGCCTCTTCAAACCCTTTCACTGCAAGCTGCTTTTTTGTGCTTTTTGAAAGAAAAGGAAGAAAAACACATTGCATTTTCTTAAGATAAAATGATACCTGCTTCTTCATTTCCTCCTACTCCTTCCTATTATCTTTTGTAGAAAGAATTGCTGAATCTATTGATATGTAATTTTCATTTAATTCTCCAACATCTTATTGCTATTTAAAATGGTTTAAGAAAACTGGCTTAATATAGCCAAGAAAAATTCTATAGTAATACTTGTCTGTAATTTCTCTATATTTAAATAAAATATCATTTCTATCTTGGAGGTTTGATTTGGCCATTTAAAAATGCTAATGTTTTATTGTTTTTTCAAAAAAATACTACATGCATGCTCATAGTATAAACATCAATGTTTCATTAGGATATATAGTGAAAAGTCAGTAACTTTACAACCTCTGTTTCAAACCCAACCAGTAATTTAAGTTGTTTTCATAACAAAGTGTTATTATTTATCTTCTAATACCTATAAAATATTTATTTACTCCCCAAATTAAATAGAGTGTTGGTTCTTCAATGAAGGTATGAAGTTACTTTCAATTAAATATGCAGTTTGATTAGAAGAAAAAAAAATCCATCAGATCTCAGCCAAGCTCTTTTGGATGATTATTTTTCTTCAAAATCAAATACACTAAAATTTCCAAACAGTAACAGTTACAATGTTTCAGTTTCTTTTAAGGTAGCCTGAACTGAGACACATTAAGGTTTATATCTAATTTCATAGTTCTGTTCAGTAGGAAATAAGTAAATTAGTTTAAAGGACTGATCCATATCAGGAGATCAGGACTGGACAAAGTGTTAATTTATCTACAGATTTTACCAGGCAGATTGCCAATATCCAAGTTCATTAGACAGGTCCTAGGACTAATAAGAACTCTTGGGGGCTACAATGTGAAATACCTGAGTATATGAGTCAGGTAAAGACTTTAGAAAGTTTGGCTTCTACTCTCATATTCCCAGGAGTTGAATAGATTGGAGTGGAAAAAATGTGGTCAAAAACTAGTGATTTTGGATTAGAAGTAGGGCATAAAGCTCCTATTATTGCACTTGGGCAATATTAACTGGATTGCAAGAAACTGTAATATGCAGAAACAGCATATTTCCCTTAGGGAGTACATTTTGTTAAACTTAGTATTCTTGCTACCTGTTTTGTTACCTAAGCTTAATGGACCTGGCCCTAGACTTTAGCTTGGTGCATGGTGAAAATTGACCTTAAGCAACTGCAGCATTGTCCAAATATTTGGTTTCACATAGACCAGTTTTGGTTCTTGTTTCTGTGTGACTTTGAGGGGCTCTTTAAGAAATCCAAGGACAAGGTGCCACATTTATTAAGGCCCCGCCATTCACAATGCATGATGCTAGAGCCTGACAGTGCACCATGCTAGAGACTGAAGAGACATAAAAAAAAGAAAAGGCAGAGTTCTTGCTATCAGGTTCTTAAAATTTTCTTTGTTTTGGTTAAATTCTTGATTGGATTTTTTCACTAAATGTTTGGCCCTATTAAAAATAAGTAAAGAAAAAATGAAGGAAGAATGGAAGAGAGGGAGAATAGGAAATGAATGAAACAAAGCCAAGTAAGAGATACGTCTACTACAGACCTGCAAGTTGGCAGTGCTTGCAGAAGACAGTTGACATATTCTAGCCTGGTTCACATTTTCTGGTTAACTTTTGAGCATAGAATAAAGAATATAATAAAATGCTTTTTTTTTTTTTTGCACAATGAACTTTAAACAAATCAGGAGAGTATATTGGTAATTTAGAGAAGTAGCAATTCTCATTAAATCTGTTTTTCATTGAATTATCATGCCCTTAAAATTATATGATAGATTATTATCTTCGGTAGTATTAGTTTAAATAAGAATTATATACAACCAAAATATCAGTAAGGCTAATTCTCTGAGACCATAAGAGAACCAAGTCAATATCCCCATAGCTACATCATATTGATCATTCATTTGATTTAAGAAGAAAGAAGACAAATATGTTAGTGAAAGGGAGACAAATGAGTATGTGCCTGGCCTGGCCAATTCCTGACTCATTTACAGAGGAAGCTAATATAACTCTCTTACTCATTTTATGGGAAATATGATAGATCTGATTATATAATTTATGCCTCCTTTCAGACTTCCTACACCCCACTAATTGTCTCTTCCTTTCTTTTCTCCACCTTTTGCTCAGGTATTTGGCAGTTATTGCACTTTTTTGGATCTTTTTTTTAAGGATGTTACTATCAATCTTTTGCCTACATCTAAATGACTTACCTATGAAGAAGATCCCATTTTTAGCCTTAATATTTGCAAATTACTTGAGAGGTAATATGAGGGAAAAAAATTAAGTATTCACCCACATATGTCACCATAGCTTTAACATTTTACTTAAAATTGCATAATCAAAGCCTATCACTATATTTTGCTGCATAGTCTTAAAACTAGCAAATTGATTGCTTTAAATGGATTTTTCTTTATCTTGGAGCTTTGGTGCAATAAATTATTTTAAGTAATGTTAATTTTGACTGGAATTGTAAATCATAGTTTTCTAAGTTAAATACATTTTAAAACTTTAGTTTTAAATTTCAGGATTCATGCATAACATTCTAAAGTTCCTGGTATGAACAAAGACACACACACACACACACACACACAGAGAGAGCTCTTGAAATTGTGTAGACATCAAAGTGTGCTTTAAAAATGTAAGTGTGAATTAGCTCAAAATATATAGATTAAATCTCTTTGAAATACATTTGTGTTTAAAATTTAATGTTAGCAATGCTTAGCTTGAAGATGTCTTGGGTTTTGCTTAGTAAAAACATTTGAATTATCTCACTGAACTGAACTTAATGTTTTTAACTAGAAATGAATATGCAGCTATAACTCCTAAATTCATTGAAATAAATGCATAGTTAACACACATTTCTAAGAAACTCACAAGCAATGTAATTTATATATTTGAGGAAGTTTTCCTAGACCACTGCTTTTCAACGTTCATTGTACATATATGAATTGCCTGGGGATTTCGATAAAAGTAAAATCTACTTTTGTATGTGTGGGATAGGACCTGAAATTCTGCATTCCTAACAGGCTCCCACTTGATGCTGCTACTGATGTTCCATGAATCGTGCTTTGAATAGCAAGAGTCCAGTTCACAGGCCACATGGGAAAGGCATATTTGTTTCCATGTCTTGAAACTTCAAGGAAAATTCTTTCAAATAGTATAATATATGTATTATATATTATAACTCTTCCCCTCTAGATTTCCATCAGAAAGCTATAGATATGATATCCGCTGAAGGGTTAGAAGCAACATAGACACGTGGAGATGTCTAAATTCTCTGTACCTCATTATTTTATGTTTAGTTTTCAAAAATATAGGGTTAATCTGATGCTGAGTTTTGAACTTGGGAGGCAGTTGACTAGTACAATTACAACTGCTGTCAGCTATGGGCATAGGCTTCAACTTCAACTATATATATAACAGTAGTAGATATGAATATTAATTCAGCGAAGTCAAAGAAGGCTTCTTACATGATCATTGTATTGAGATCTGAAAAATGCATTAAATTACTATATATATAGGTAGTTATATATAATTATATAACTATATAAATATATTTATATATAAGGTTTATATATAAATATAAAATTTATACCTATATTATATATATGTGTGTGTGTGTGTGTGTGTATTTTTATATATATATATATATATATATATATATATATATAGTTCCAGGATACATGTTCAGGACATGCATGTTTGTTACATAGGACCAATGAGCTGTATTTAAGCCAGCGTAAATACTGAGAGTCACACTAGTGGTTCCAGCAAATTTAGAAATGGAGTTCACAAGTTACTATCTATCTCAGTAAGATTAAACTTGACAGGTATGATAGGAAATTTGCTTTGACAGAATAAGCTTTGGAACTTTGTTTGTGGTTAATCACAGTCATAATCATTCTTACATTACATAAATAAAATCATTTTAATAAGTATGTTAAGTATGAATTTATAATTAATATGGAAAATTTTTATGTTTCGTGTCTTGTCATTTAATTTCCTAAAGAGGAGACAGACACATATGGATCTTTATATAAGGATTCTTGGTAAGAATGGTGAAAAATCTCCTTTATCATACCAAACAGAAAGACAATTTGTTCAATAAATGTATTTAATTATAAAATTTTCATTTGTTGAGAATGATTAATTTCAAAATCAAATTAATGAAGACACACTTGGTCTTTTACCTAGAATTTGTGAACTACAAATTCTAGGAGACACAGTTTGCCTAATTAGTAGGTTAAGCAATAAATTTTAGTTCAGTATGACTGTATTTAAGAAAACTCTTTATACTATATAAATAGGGACTAATAAGTAGAATTTCTGAGAAATATTTCATATATGAATATAAGTATCGTTAACTTGGGGTTGTAATGAGATCTCCCTCAAGAATTCAGGAATAAGTGAAGTATAACAGCTCTTTGAGAGATTAACTGTTAAATAATGACAGTAGAACAGAGCGGAAATATGTAGGTCACTGGAAAGAGAAAGAATACTTTCAAGGCCTGTGTGACTTAACTGTTACCTGAATAAATATATTAATATAGCTAGTAAAAGAATAAGATGTTCATCGGGGAAGTTGGTCAGTGGTAAAATCATAGGTAAAGGAAAGTAACACCTATAAATTTTATCAGCACCCATCCAGATATTTCTCTTGGATGGAGTTTTAACCAATAACCTGAACCCTCTGTACACATTACCCTTCCTCTCTCCTTCTCCCCTGTATCCACCTCATTATTTTCCTACCCATCTTGTTCATGAGGCTCTCTTAGCTGTGAGATGGATGATGAGATACTCTTCTAGCTTGATGCTACTGAACATTTGATACACCCAACTCCTTCTTTTGTTTTAATTCCTTGCAAGATAAGCAAATTTTGTATTCATTTCCCCTTGCAGATCTCATTAAAACAGAAAATGAAAAATCTCATGCATTTGAAGATTTCAGCCTTTGTGATAAATGTTATTATTTATTATAAAATAATAAATAGGTATTACAATGTACTGTGTGGGAAATCCAGATTAGGTGCTAGGCGTTGAATATCTGGATGGGGCTAAATACATGAAGTATGTTTAACTTTCTTCTACAAGTTGGGCAATACACTCACACACACACACACACGCGCATATATATATATGTATATATATGTATATATTTATATATATTTAAGAAATGAATTAAACATATTATTTTTAATAAAAATGTCATACCAGCTCCTTTTATAAGCCTTTTAAAAACTTTTTTATAAAATTAATAGAAAATAGTAGGTAGCTCTTTGTAAAGAGCAAATTACTGTTGCTATGTTACTTTAATCCAAGGTATAAATACAGAGATGTGAATTGAGAAAGAAGTAGGGTAGGTCTATGGGCTTCTATTTTAAAAATGACGTCAATTATAGTAGAATGATTTATAATGTACACCTACGTTTATTGCAACACTATTCACAATAGTAAAGACTTGGAACCAACCCAAATGCCCATCAATGATAGACTGGATAAAGAAAATGTGACACATATACATCATGGAATACTATGTAGCCATAAAAAAGGATGAGTTCATATCCTTTGCAGGGATGTGGATGAAGCTGGAAACCATCGTTCTCAGGAAACTAACACAGAAACAGAAAACCAAACACCGCATGTTCTCACTCATAAGTGGGAGTTGAACAATGAAAACACATGGACACAGGGGAGGGGAATGTCACACACCAGGGCCTGTCTGGGGGTGGGGGGCAAGGGGAGAGATAGCATTAGGAGAAATAACTAATGTAGATGACGGGTTGATGGGTGCAGCAAACCACCATGGCACGTGTATATCTATGTAACAAATCTGCACATTCTGCACCTTTATCCCAGAACTTAAAGTATAATTAAAAAAAAAAAAGAAAAAAATGATGTCAATTCCCAAAGATTAGTATAACCTTCCCTCTTCTGATCCTTGCTTTCAAGGTCTTAGAATAAATAAGATAGGCTGGCAAGACATAAAGAATGTTCACTCTGTCACATACTCTTCTAATTCAACATTTGCTTTTTCTTTCTTTTACTCTGAGACGGAATGACAAACATAAATAAGATAGCATATGATTTTCTGGTCACAGACTGGTAGGATCCCCAATGTTTATCCTAGTATGTTATATATTGTTTTTTTCTTCCTTTTTCCTCATACTGCATCAGTACTTTAGAAGTAGGGTAAAATTAAACAAATAGAAAGCGAAAGCTAATTTGTAATTGGTTGTGTGAATGTCCTTCAGTTCATTGCATCACATTCTACTTTTTTTGTTCATTCAGCAAATATTATTAAAGTATTAATGATAGACTGGATTAAGAAAATGTGGCACATATACACCATGGACTACTATGCAGCCATAAAAAAGGATGAGTTCATGTCCTTTGTAGGGACGTGGATGAAGCTGGAAACCATCATTCTCAGCAAACTATTGCGAGGACAAAAAAACAAACACCGCATGTTCTCACTCATAGGTGGGAACTGAACAATGAGAACACATGGACACAGGAAGGGGAACATCACACTCTGGGGCCTGTTGTGGGGTGGGGGGAGGGGGGAGGGATAGCATTAGGAGATATACCTAATGTTAAATGATGTGTTAATGGGTGCAGCTCACCAACATGGCACATGTATACATATGCAACTAACCTGCACATTGTGCACATGTACCCTAAAACTTAAAGTATAATAATAATAAAAAAGTATTAATATATGTCTGGTGTAGAAATAGATCCTGGGGACTTGTAGTCTCCAAAACTTGCCAGGTTTTGCTTTCATGAAGTTCTCAGTTTAGTGAAAATGACAAAATTATATTCAGGAGTCATAATCATATGTAAAAAGTGCCAATAGTGATGACTATGTACTTTGTACAATAGAGATGAATAATTTTAGATATGAATATTCATTCAGTGAAGTCAAGGAAGACTTCTTAAATGATAATTGAATTGAGATCTGAAAAATGCATAGAATTACTACTTGTAAGTGAGGAGAAAACAGTAATCATTTCATTCAGTATATGCAAAGACCATGTGACAACAGTGAGCTTAGCTTAAAAGAGATTAGCAGAAAGCCATAGTGGCTGAAGTCACGTGTGCAAAAGTGAAAGTTGTATAAGATCTGGACAAGCTGACCTGGAATTGACATTTCAAGGCTTTTCTGACGTTTTTAAGAGTCTTGTACATTATCCTAAGCTAAATGGAACTCCTTAAAAGGAGGATGCAAGTTGGACAGTTATGCAATAAATGCACCCTCTAGATGAGAGATAAAGCTGACAATACAGCTATGTTAGTAGGAATTTGTTTTTTTTTTTTTTCTAAGAAAGCATGGCATTTTGAACAGAAATATATTCTAAACAAAGAACGTAGTTCTCAGCTATTGGTTCTGGGTTTGGTCCTATAGGTAAGAAACAATATTGTTTACTTTTTGAAACTAGTATGGTTTTGAGAGAACTGACCATAATTAATACTTTTGCCAGGATCACAGACAAAAACTGACAGTTTCCTGGGCAACTTGAGAAACATGGCCTTGCCACCAGAACAGATTCCAAGGAAGGTCTCTAGTTGAGTGATAAAGACTTAAAAAACATGAATTGCTTGAAATCTTTGCTGGTGAAGAGTCTTATATCATGTAAAGAATTCACTGGTATTCACTGGTGGCTTTTAGTCTCTGACTTGACATCAGAGCATCAGTGATTTTTATTTTCCATTAGCTAATGTTTTATCATAGGTCTGTCCTTGGGCAAGCTTGTGTGAATCATTGCAGTACTATACAGGCATTTTCTAGTCAATCTCTTTGTTTTTGCAGGTATCATGAGAAATTGGCTTTGGCTACCATGGCTCATAGGGTAAATATCTATTATTAAACATGTGATCTCTTGACTCTGATCAGAGTAACTGATGGTCTGTGAGCCCTCTAAAAAGTCCATTTGGGGTCAAGTTCAGAAATGTTGCAAGGCAGTTTTTTGGAAATATTTTGTTCAATGGCACAAGAAAGCAGAGGTCATGTGTTCAGTGCACAGGGTAGACCCAGGAAAGATTTAGACAGTCATTAAACGTTCAGGGTTTGAGAATTTCTAAGCAATGTTTTGCTTCTTTTCATTTCCTCTTTAAATTTGATTTTATTTGTATGCACTTTTTTTAAATTTAGAGGGCTGGTTTCCTATCTTTTCCATCCAAAAGATTTGTGCATATGAAAAAAACCTTTAGAGTAATTCACTCATAAACCCTGAAAACATTCTTAAAGGGGGTGGGCAACAAAGTTGGGGGATACTTTGATTCCACTTTCCATTCTATAAACAGCCAGCAGACTATGGGGTGGAAGAAATTGCACTTGCACTTGTAGTAAGCAGGAATCATTTGATTAAAAGTGGAAAACAAACAACAAAGAGTAGTAGCCAAAAGGAGGGTTAAGAACCCATTGCACTTTATTGCACAGAACAATTGACTTTCTGCTTTTATGCATCAGTCACGTGAGCTTGCTCAATAGCTGGTCCTGAGAGATGGACACTCTCTGTATGTGCTGACAAAACCAGGTTTATGTATCTGCAGTACTGAAGGGCAGAACTTTGACCACAGCAAATTTGTTAAAGTAATGAATGCCACCCTGGAGGACTTCTCTTGGCTCTCTTGCTAGCCTAACACAGGAAACCTAACCTCTGTGCATTACTATTCAAGCAGGTTTAATTCCTGCTTGATATTAGGGGTTCACTTTTGGGAGGTTCCATTGATCTGGATAGACATTGGCACATTTGAATAAAAAGTGTAGCATTACCCTTTACTTATTAATAATGTCCTATGTTATCATAAATGAAGTTGAACCAAAGTAAGAATTGGAATTTTAGTGATTGTCAGGTGAGATATTTTAAATACAGAGCTGATGACTGACATTTGAAGAATTCACTCTCTCAAAATCTATGAGAGTAGTTGTGAGAATTTATTTTTCAGGATTAAGATAGTTACAGTAATGATATGTATACTTAACTAGAAATATGACAGAAGGTGAATGAGTGGGACTATGTTGAATCAAAGAAAGAAAATGGAATTTGAATAAGGTAAAAGGAAAATAAAAAATAACCTGGGATTTTTAAAAGTGTATATTTCGTGTAAGTAAATATATATATATGTGTGTGTGTGTGTAAGTATATTAGTCAATTCTTGCACTGCTATAAAGAACTACACTGCTATAAAGACTATTTATAGTAATTTATAAAGAAAAGAGTTTAGTTGTCTCGCAGTTCTGCAGGCTGCACAGGAAGCATGGCAGCATCTGCTTCTGGGCAGGCCTCAGGGAACTTTTACTGATTGTGGAAGGCAAAGTGGAGCAGGTGTCTTACATGGCAGGAGCAAGACCAAGGGGTGGGGGGTGGTTTAAACACTTTAAAACAACCAGATCTCATATAACTCACTGCCAAATGTAAGTATCTCTTTTCAATGGTCTCAAACCTCGCAACGTCTTAATTCATTCCAATATTAACTCCAAAGTCTAAAGTCCAAAGTCTCATCTGAGACAAAGCAAATCTCTTTCACCTATGAACCTATAAAATCGACAACTAGTTGCTTCCAAGATGCAATGGGGGGTAACAAGCTTTGGGTAAATACTCTTGCTCCAAAAGGGAGGCATTAGCCAAAAGAGAAGGGCTACAGGCCCCATGCAAGTCCTAAATTTAGTAGAGTAGTCATTAAATCTTAAAGCTCCAAAAACAGACTCCTTTGACTCTGTCTCCCACATCTAGGGCACATTGATGAAAGGACTTGGATCCCAAAGTTTTGGGCAGCTCTGCCCCATGGCTTTCCAGGGTTCAGCCTCTGTGGCTGCTTTAAAGGGTTGGCATTGACTGCCTGCCATTCTTTGAGGCTGAGGGTGCAAAAGCTGCTGGTGGATCTACCACTCTGTGGTCTGGAGGATGGTGGCTCTCTTCTCACAGCTCCACTAGGCAACACCCCAGTGGTCATTCTGTGTGGGAGCTCCAACCCTACATTTCCCCTCTGCACTGCCCTAGTAGAGATTCTCCATGAGGTCTCCACCCCTGCAGCAGACATTCGCCTGGACATCCAGGCTTTTCCATATATTCTCCAAAATCTAGGCAGAGACTCCCAAATCTCAACTCTTGCACTCTATGCACCTGCAGGATTAATACCATGTGGGTGCTGTGAAGGCTTACTGCTTGCACCCTCTGAAACAGCAGCAAGAACTGTACCTGGGCCCCTTTTAGCCATGGCTGGATTTGGAGTGGCTGGGGTACAGGGAGGAGTGTCCAGAGGCTATGTAGGGCAGTATGGGGTGATAGGAACCAGAGCTTGACCCAGGAAACCATTCTGTCTTCCTAGGCTTTGAGGTCTATGATGGGAGGGGCTGCCACAAAGGTCCCTGAAATTCCTTCAAGGCTTTTCTCCAATATCTTGGCTATCAGCAATTGGATCCTCTTTACTTATGCAAATTTATTTAGCCTGGTTGAATTCCTCCCCTGAAAATGGGGTTTTCTTTCACATGCTGGGCTACAAATTTTCCAAAGTTGTGTGGTCTTCATCCCTTTTAAATATAAGTTCCAGTTTTACATCATTGTTGTTGTTGTTGTTGTTCATACGTATGGGCATAGCCTGTTAGAGGTAGCTAGGCCACATCTTGACACTTTGCTTAGAAATTGCTTCCACTAGATACCCTAAATGTTCACTCTGAAGTTCAAGGTTCTATAGATCCCTTGGGCAGGGGCACATTGAACCCTGGCTATTTGCTAAAGCATGACAAAAGTGACGTTTGTTCCGATTCCCAATAAGTTCCTCTTTTCCATCTGTGACCTCCTCAGCCTCTACTTCATTGTTCATATCACTCTCAGCATGTTTGGTCACAACAATTTGACTAGTATCTAGGAAGTTCCAAACTTCCCCTAATCTTTCCACCTTATTCTGATCCCTCCACCCTCTTCCAACCTCTGCCCATTACCCAGTCCCAAAGCTGCTTCCATAATTTCAGCTATCTTTATAGCAATGCCCCACCTCTTGGCACTAATTTTTTATATTAGTTCTTACACTGCATGAAGAAATTCATGTCCTTTGTAGGGACATGGATGAAATTGGAAATCATCATTCTCAGTAAACTATCGCAAGAACAAAAAACCAAACACCGCATATTCTCACTCATAGGTGGGAATTGAACAATGAGAACACATGGACACAGGAAGGGGAACATCACACTCTGGGGACTGTTGTGGGGTGGGGGGAGGGGGAGGGGATAGCATTGGGAGATATACCTAATGCTAGATGATGAGTTAGTGGGTGCAGCGCACCAGCATGTCACATGTATACATATGTAACTAACCTGCACATTGTGCACATGTACCCTAAAACTTAAAGTATAAAAAAAAAAGAAATAACCTGAGACAGGGTAATTTATAAAGAAAAGAGGTTTAATTGGCTCATGGTTCTGCAGACTGTACAGAAAGCCTGGCAGCATCTGCTTCTGGGGAGGCCTAAGGAAACTGTTACTCATGGTGGAAGGCAAAGTGGGAGCAGGCATCTTATATTGCAGGAACAGGACCAAGAGAGAGCACAGGGAGGTGCTACACACTTTTAAACAACCAGATCTCATGTTAACTCACTCATTCACTATCATCAGAACAGCATGGAGAGGATGGTGCTCACCCATTCATGAGAACTGTATCACCATGATCCAGTCATCTCCCACCAGGCCCCACCTTTAACACTGAGGACTGCAATTCAACATGAGATTTGGTGGGCACAAAGATCCAAACCATATCAGTAAATATACACAAATATAAACATTCATATACCTATAACTTGTATATTTTTGAGAAAATTTGGATAAATTAAAAATTGTTTAAAAATTTTATGTATCAGTTATGTATAAATTTATTCAAGAATCAAGCCTTCTCAATCGGCTTTAAGCATGGTTACTAATGATAGGTGAAGAAGGTTTTTGATAAGAAAAGTTTTCAATTTGAAAAAAAAGATAATAATTATACTTACATGTTTTTGTTCCATTTTCTAATTCCAGATGTTCTTTTAACACCCATATTTTGAGGAAAATCATAAGACTCAAATATTTGGCAGAGAAGCAAAACAGCCAGTATTTGTTCTTCCCCCCTTTAACTCTATATGTCAGTAAAATCTGAATATTTTCTTTTAAACTCTGATCTCTGGAAAAATGCCATTTCTTCCTTCTACTGAGAGATATCAACATTGTCTAAAAAGCAGTAAGTTTTCAGAGAAAACCCTGTGTAGCATCACATATTCTAGAATATGTCAGTCTTATAAAAAAAATTATCCCATTTGATGCAACTGGGATAACATATAGTTTCTTTTGTATCTCTTCAGTTTTATTGAGGTGTAATTGTCAAAAACTGTATATATTTACAGTTTACAATGTGAGGCTTTGATATATGCATACATTGTAAAATGATAACCACAATAAAGCTAGTTAACATATTTATCACCGCACATTGTTACTTTTCTGTGGTGAGAATATTTGAGATCTACACTCTAAGCAAGTTTTATGTATAGAATACATGAAATATTATCAACTGTAGTCACCTTGTTGTATATCTCCAGAACTTACTCATCCTACATGATTGAAACTTTATACCCTTTAACTAACATCACCCGCCTTCTCCCACCCTCCGACACTGCCTACCACCATTCTACTGTCCTATAAGTTTCAGTTTTTTAGACTGCATATATAAATGACATCATACAGTATTAGTGTTTGGGTGCTTGCTTCATTTCACTTAGCACAGTGTCATTCAGGTTAATCCTCTGATTGCAAATGGTAGGATTTCCATCTTTTTAAAAACTGTCTCACTGTGTGTGTGTGTGTGTGTGTGTGCGCACGTGCATATGTATATGGGATATATATACACACATACACACCCTTTCTTCAAAGTATGGACACATATATTGATTCCATATATAATGCTGCAATGAAAATGGAAGTGCAGATATCTCATCAAGATGCTGATTTAATTTCCTTTGGATATATACTCAGAAGTGGGATTGCTGTGTAATATTATAGTTCCATTGTAAATTGTTTTGCATAAATTTAAGGTGTACAAGTGCAGTTTTGCTAAATGGATATATTATGTAGTGGTGAAAGTCTGGGCATTTAATGTCACCATCTCCTGGATAATGTACATAGTGTCCATTAAGTAATTGCTCATCCTTTATCTCCCTTCCACCTTCACCTTTCTGTGTCTCTAGTGTCTATTATTCCACACTCTATATCCATATGCACACATTATTTAGCTCCCACTTGTAAGTGAGATCATACAGTATTTGATTTTCTGTTTCTGAGTAGTTTATCTTAAGATATGGCCTCCAGTTCCATTCATATTGCTGCAAAAGACATGATTTTATTCTTTATTTACAGCTTAATAATATTATATTGTGTATACAGACCAGTTTCTTTATCCATTCATCCATTGATGGATACTTAGGTTGATTCCATATCTTTGCTATTGTAAATAATGCTTCAGTAAACACACAAGTACCAGCATCTTTTTAAAATAATGTGTTTTTTTTTTCCTTTGGATAGATACCCAGTAGTGGAATTGTTGGATCCAATTTTAGCTCTATTTTTGTTCTTTGAGAAATCTGTATATTTTGCTATAAAGTTTGTACTAATACTAATTTACATTCCCACCAGCAGTGTAAAGTGTCCCTTTCTCTGCATCCTCTCTAACATCTATTCTTTCTTGACTTTTTAATAATAGTCATACTGATTGGCATAAGATGATATTTCATTGTGGTTCACTATGTATTTCTCCGGTGATTAGTGATGTTGAGTGTTTTTCTGTATGTTTATCGCTATTGTATGTCTTCTTTTGAAAATTGTCTGTTCATGTCCTTTGCCCACTCTTTTTAGTTTTTTGAGGAACCTTCACACTCTTCTTTACACATTTCTTCATACTCAGAATGTTAGTAAAAATTTACATTTCCATCAACAATCTACAAGAGATCCCTTTGCTCCCCATCCTTGCCAACACTTATCTTACCTTTTTATTTTAAAAAATTTTATTCATTCTAACAGGTATGGTGTTCTATATCACTGTGGTTTTAGTTTACATATCCTTGGTGATTAGTGACATCGAACATTTTATTTTCACATACCTGTTGGCCACTCCTATGTCTTCTTCTGAGAAATGTCTATTTAGAATCTTTGCTTGTTTTTAATTGGGTTGTTTTCTTGCTAATGTGTTAAGTTTCTTATATATTTTAGACATTAACTACTCATCAGATGTATGGTTCACAAATGTTTTCTTCCAACTGTATATTATCTCTTACTTTGGTGATTGTTTCCTTTGCTGTGCAGACGCTTTTTCAGTTTGATAGTCTCGTTTGTCTTTTTCACTTTTGCTGTTTGTGCTTTTCAGGTTATATCCAAAAATTTTTTGTCCAAATCAAGGTCAATAAACTTTTTCCTGTTTTCTTCTAGTAGTTTCAGTTTCACGTCTTATATTTAAGCCTTAATTCATTTTGAGTTGATGGTGGGAGATAAGTATCCTATTTTATTCTACTGCATATGTACATCTAGTTTTCTCAACACCAACTACTGAAGAGAATATTCTTTATCCATTGTGTGTTCTTAGCATATTTGTCAAAGACCGGTTAGACTGTAAATGCATGAGTTTATTATTGAGCTTAGCATTCTGTTCCATTGATATATGAGTTTGTTTTTATGCCAATACCACATTGTTTTGATTACTACAGCTTTGTAGTAATACTGTGAAATCAAGTAGTGTTATGCCTCCAGCTTTATTCTGTGTGCTTAATATTGCTATGGCTATTGGGGGTCTTCTGTGGTTCAGTGTGAAATTTAGGATTATTATTATTATTTTTTTTTGTCATTTAGTAAGTTTCTTTTTTTTATTATACTTTAAGTTTTAGGGTACATGTGCACATTGTGCAGGTTAGTTACATATGTATACATGTGCCATGCTGGTGCGCTGCACCCACTAACTCGTCATCTAGCATTAGGTATATCTCCCAGTGCTACCCCTCCCCCCTCCCCCCACCCCACCACAGTCCCCAGAGTGTGATATTCCCCTTCCTGTGACCATGTGATCTCATTGTTCAATTCCCACCTATGAGTGAGAATATGCGGTGTTTGGTTTTTTGTTCTTGCGATAGTTTACTGAGGATTATTTTTTACATTTCTGTAATGAGTGCCATTAAGACTTTGATAGAGAGTGCATTGAAGTTGTAGATCAATTTGAGTAGTATGGTCATTTTTAACAATATTAACTATTTTTGATATAAATAGGAGATGTCTTTCCATTTATTTGTCTTCAATTTCTTTCATTGATGTTTTATAATTTTCAGTGTACAGTCCTTTCACCTCCTTGGTTAAATTTATTCCTAATTATTTTATTCTTTTTGCTGCTATGGTGAATGGGATTATTTTCTTGATTTCTTTTTCAGATAAGGTATACAATTTCTTCTGATTATTTTTATTATATATATTATGTATTAGTTGTTTCTATCAGTTTACAAATTTTTTATTAGTTCTGACAGATTTTTGGTGTTATCTTTAAGCTTTTCTATATATAACATTATGTCTTCTGCAAATAGAGATAATTTTACTTCCTCCTTTAGAATTTGGATATATTTTGTTTTAATTGCTCTAGCTAGGATTTCTAGTACAACATGCAAAAGAAGTCATGAAAGCGAGTATCTTTGCCTTGTTTCTGACGATAGGAAATTCTTTTAGATATGCACAATTGAGTATAATGTTAGCTGTGGGCTTATCATATATGGCCTTTATTATGTTGAGGTACACTTCTTCTATATCTAAGATATCATGATTTCTTAATCATGAAAATATTTCAGATTTCGTCAAATGCATTTTCTACATTTATTGAAATGGTCATATAATTATTACCCTTCATTCTGCTAATTAAGGTGCTATATCATATTGATTGATTTGTGCATATTGAAACATCTTTTCATTCAAGAGCTAAATCTTACCCGATCATGGCATGTGATCCTTTTAATGTGCTGTTGAGAAAGGTTTGCTAATACCTTGTTGAGGTTTTTCGCACCTATGTTTTTCAGGGTTATTAGCCTGTAATTTTATTTTCTTGTATTCTTCTTCCTGGCTTTAGTATCAGGGTAATGCTAGTCTTATAGAACTAGTTTGTAAGTGTTCATTTCCTTCAATGTTATTGAAATGTTTTAGAACAATTAACATTAATTCTTCTTTAGATGTTTGCTAGAATTTACCAGTGAAGCTATTAAGCCCTCGAATTTTCTTCATTGATTGGGTTTTGAATACTCATTCAATCGCCTTACATTTATTGTTCTTTTCAGAATTTCTGGGTTTTTTATGATTCAGTCTTTGTACATTGTAAGTTTATAGGAATGTATTCATTTCTCCTACATTATCCAGTTTGTGGTGTATAATTGTTCATGGTATTTTATTATCCTTTGTATTTCTGTTACATCAATTGGGATGTCTACTGTTTCATTTCTTCATATATTTATTTGTGTCTTCTTTACTTTTTTATTTGTCTAAATAAAGGTTTCAGAATTTGTATATGTTTTCAAAAGAAGCCAACTCAGTTTCATTATTTTTCCTATAATTTTTAATTTTTTATCTTATTCGATTTCTGCTCTGATCTTTATTATTTTGTTTCTTCTAACAACTTTGATCTTCACTTGTTATTGTTTTTCTAGTTTCCTGAGGTGTATAGTTCTGCTGTTTATTTGAGAGCTTTCTTTTTTCTTAATATATGTGTTTGTTTTCATGAATCTCCCTGTTTGAATCGCTTTCACTGTAACCTGTAAGTTCTGCACTGTTGCTTTTCCATTTTCATTTGCTTTGTAATATATTTTATTTTCTATTTGGTTTCTTTTGTAACCCATTGTTTAGTCATGTGTGTCTTGTTTAATTTCTACATTTTTGTAAATTTTACAATTTTTCTCTTGCTATTGATTGCTAGTTCCATATAATTGTGGTCTAAAAGCATACTTGATACGATTTCAATCTTAAATTTTTAAAACTTGTTTCCTGACATATGATCTCTCCCAGTGAAGTTATATGTTCATCTGTAAAGAATGCGTATGCTGCAGCAGTTGTAGGGAATTGCCAATATGTGTTTTTTAAGTCCATTATGTCTAAAGTGTTGTTCAAGTTAACTGTTTTCCTTATTTTCTGTATGAATGGTCTGACTATTGTTGAAATTGGGATATTGAGACTTCCTACTACTAATATTACTGTCTTTCTATCTAACTTCCCTTAAGTTCTGTTAATACTTTCTTTATATCTTTAGCTGCTCCAATGTTAGGTGCATGTATATCTAAAATTATTGGAGCTTATTGATAAATTGACTCCTTTATATAATGACCTTTTTGTGTCTTATGAAAAATGTTGACTTAAATTCTATTTTGTCTGAAACAGTCATAGCCACTCTGGATCTCTTTTGCTTACTATTTGAATGGGATATCTTTCTCTATTTCTTCACTTTCTGCCTGTGTGTGTCATTAAAACTAAAGTCTTACAGGGAACATATAGTTGATTTTTTTTTCACCATTCACCCACTCTATTTCTTTTGTTTGAAGAATTTAATCCATTTACATGTAAAGTTATTATTGATAGGTAAGGATTTAATATTTATATTGTATTAATTGGTTTCTGGTTGTTTTGTTGCTTCTCCTCTCTTATTGTCTTCCTTTAAGATGAGGTCATTTTCTCTGGTGATATGCTTTGATTACTTACTTTTTATCTTTTGTGTATCTATTACAGGTTTTTTCTTTGTGGTTTCCATGAGGCATATGTAAAACATCTTTTAATCGTACATAACCTTAACAGACTGTTGTAAGCTGATAGCAACCTAATGCTGGTCACATTAAAAAAAAATCTCCACTGGGTATGGTGACTAATGGTTGTAATCTCAGCACCTTGGGAGGCTGAAGCAGGAAGATTGCTAAAGGCCAGGGTTTGAGACCAGCCTGGGCAACATAGTGAGACCCTATTTTTACAAAAAAGAAAGTTAGCCAGTCATGGTGATACACTCCTTCTTTGGTCCTAGCTACTTAGGAGACAGGGTCACCTTAGCCCAGAAGTTGAATGCTGCAGTGAGTTATAATTGTGCCACTGCACTCCAACCTGAGCAACAGAATGCAGCCCTGTCTCAAAGTAAACAAAAACAAACTCAACATTTTTACCCTTCCCTACCCTCACATTTTATATTTTTGATTTCACAACTCATGTATTTTTCTTTTTTTTTATTATACTTTAAGTTTTAGGGTACATGTGCACATTGTGCAGGTTAGTTACATATGTATACATGTGCCATGCTGGTGCGCTGCACCCACTAACTCGTCATCTAGCATTAGGTATATCTCCCAATGCTATCCCTCCCCCCTCCCCCACACAATTCATGTATTTTTCTATGGTGTCTTCTTTATCAAGTTATGTAGCTATTATTCTTTTCAGTAGTTTTATCTTTTAACCTTTATGCTAAGGATATAACTAACTTATACACCACTATTACAGTATTAGAATATTCTGAATTTGACTATGTACTTTTACCAGTGAGTTTTGTACTTTAGTATAAAAGTTTTTAGTTTTCTAGTTAGCATTCTTTTTTGTTTTTTTGAGGCCAAGTCTCACTCTGTTGTCAGGCTGGAGTGCAGTGGCATGATCTTGACTCACTGCAACCTCCATCTTCCAGGTTCCAATGATTCTCCTGCCTCGACCTCCTGAGTAGCTGGGACTACAGGTACGCACCACCACACCAGCAAATTTTTTTTGTATTTTTAGTAGAGACGGGGTTTCACCATGTTGACCAGGATGGTCGCAGTCTCCTGACATCGTGATGTCCCAAAGTGCTGGGATTACAGGCATTAGCCACTGCACCTGGCACCTAGTTAGCATTTTTTTCATTCGTTTTGTTGAAAAAAAACTTCTTTACTATTTGTAAGGTAGGTCTGTTGGTAATGAACTCCTTCAGCTCTTGGTGGTCTGGGAAAGCATTTATCTGTCCTTCATTTCAGAAGGACAGATTTGCTGTGTAACATATTCTTGGTTGATGCTTTTTTTTTTTTTTTTAACCTTTAGCATTTTAGATATATCATCCCATTATCTCTGGCCTTTTAAAATGTCTGCTGAGAAAACCACTGTTAGTCTTATTGGAACTCCTTTACATGTCATTTGCATCTTTTGTATTTCTGCTTTCAGAATCCTGTCTTTGTCTTTGACTTTATTGTTGTTATTGTTATTATTATTATTATTGAAACAGTGTCTTGCTCTGTTGCCCATGCTGGAGTGCAGTGACAAAATCTTGGCTCACTGCAACTTCTGCCTCTTAGGTTCAAGCAATTTTCATACGTCAGCCTCCTGGGTAGTTGTGATTACAAGTTTGCGCCACTATGCCCAGCTAATTTTTTTTTGTTGTTGTTGTATTTTTAGTAGAGACATGGTCTTGCCATATTGGCCAGTTTGGTCTCGAACTCCTGGCCTCAAATGATCTGCCTGCCTCAGCCTCCCAAAGTGCTGGGATTACAGGCATGAGCCACCATACCCAGCCTGTCTTTGGCTTTAGACAGTTTGATTATAAATTGTCTTGCTATGGTCTTGTTTGAATTGAATATAATTGGAGACTTTTGACCTTTCTGTATCTGAATACTTATGTGTTTCCCCACATTTGCAAAGTTTTCTTCTAGTGTTTACTTAAATAAATTTTCTGGCTTTTTTTCTTTGTCTTCTCCTCCTTATACTCTTATAATTTAAAATTTTGCTCTTTTGATTCTGTCTCAGAAATCTCATAAGCAGTTATTATTCATTTTTATTCATTTTGCTGGCTTGGAACTGAGGTTCAATGGGTAGGTTGCATACCGGGACAATGGGCTAGACTTGGAACCCGGTTCCATAGGGATAGGCCTGGAGCATGGATCTGTGGGGTAAAGCCTAAAGCCTGGCACTGGGGTCTACTGTTTTAGGCCTCAACCCTTGGTCCACTGGAGTAGGCTTGAACCCTGGAAATCTCTGAGCCTGGAGCCATGGAGACTGGCCTGATACTAGAGTGGGCCTGCCATATTATTTCATAAGAACAGTTCTGACCATGAGTCCACATTCTGGCCTGGTGCTGAGGTCCACAGTCATGGGCTTTGTGTCTGGGACCATGAGTTAAGCCTGTGTCCTGGCAGTATGGTTTTGCTCTGTGCCCTGACCCACATCTCATCTTCAATTATAATTCCCATAATTCCCATGTGTCAAATGAGGGACCTGGTGGGAGGTGACTGGATCGTGGGAGTGGTTTTCCCCATGGACTTCTTGTGATAGTGAGTTCTCACAAGATCTGATGTTTTATAAGTGGCAGTTTACCCTGCTCTCTCTCTCACCTGCTGCCATGTAAGACGTGCCTTGCTTTCCCTTTGTCTAGCATCATGATGGTAAGTTTCCTGAGGCCAACCCCAGCCATGTGTAACTGTGAGTCAATTAAACCTCCTTTTATTTTTTTAAATAAATTACCCAGTCTCAGACAGTTCTTTTTAGAAGTGTGGAAATGAATTAATACACCTGGGGTCCATGGTGGTGGGTATGGAGCCTGAGTTTTTGGGAACTGGCTAGGTGCTGTGGTCTACTGGGGCAGAGCTGGTCCCTGGGTTCACTGAAGCTTGGGGCTGTGGTGGTAGTACTGGAGCTTGGAGATGTAGGGGTTGGCATGAACAGGCAGTTCTTTAAATTATATAATAGTGCATTCTCACACTGCTAATAAAGACATACCTGAGGCTGGGTATTTATAAAGAAAAAGAGGTTTCTTGGACTCACAGTTCCATGTGGCTGGGGATGCCTCACCATCATGGCAGAAGGTGATAGTCATGTCTCACAGCACAGCAGGCAACAGAGAGAATGAGAACCAAGCAAAAGTGTTTCCCCTTATAAAGACCTCAGATCTCATGAAACCTCTTCACTTCCATGACAACAGTATGGGAGAAACTGCCCCCATGATTCAATTATCTTTCACCGGGTCCTTCCCGTAATACGTAGAAATTATGAGAGCTACAATTCAAGATGAGATTTGGGTGGGGACACAGCCAAACCATATTAGTGTATTACTTTGATCCTAAATTGTTTAAAGAAAACTCTAGCTTAAGTCTCAGAAGGCTTTTGCTTCACGTTTTTCACTATACTGAGAACATTGGATATACTACAGAACATTCCCTCAAGAGCATCCCTCCTAGTAGGAGTTTGGGTATTACATATACACCATGGTCAGTTAACTACTAGTAAACAGATATTCCCTGGTGAGAGCGCTTAAAGAGAGAATGGCTTTTTTTTTTAATTTTCCACAATAACATAGAAAATCTGGAAGCATATGAACATCAATGATCAAGGGAACTAGGATAGGTGACTTTGGGAGAGGGAAAAGCTGACCACATCTTAGTGATAACAGCAGTAACAATAACCATACGAATGACATTGGCAGTACTCTTTTCTGAAACTCTATTATATCTGGCAATGCATTCAGCATTTTAATACTACATCTTATAATCCTCACTGGAAACATATGATCTAAGTATTATTATTTGCAGTGTAAAAACAAGAAAGCTGGGCATTAAGTAAATTTAATACTTTTCTGAAATTACAGTCATAGCCAAATTGAATAAATGTCAGATCTTAGATTTGAATTCAGCTGAGTCTGATCCCAAAGTCTTTTGTATTGGTTTTAGGTCATGGACTCTAGCATTGTAAAGGCTAGAGAATAGGTAAATCTTATCATTTAATATTAGGCATAAAGTTGAGTTGAGCAAACCAAAATCAATATACCATTTGGATATGGTTTGTATGCATAAATACCTAGAAGTAATTCCATATCTTTGATACTGTGAATAGTGCAGTGATCAACATGAGTGCATATGTCCTGTTGTTGGTAGAATGATTTATATTCTTAAAGACACATGCACTTGTATGTTCATCACTGTACTATTAACAATAGCAAAGACATGGAATCAACCCAGGTGCTCCTCAATGGTAGATAGGATAAAGAAAATGTGGTATATACACCATGGGATACCATGCAGCCATAAATAGAATAAAATCATGTCCTTTGCAGTAACATGAATGAAGTGGGAGCCCACAATCCTATGCAAATTAATGCAGGAACATAAAACCAAAAGTGGGAGCTAAACATTGAGCACACATGGACATAAATATGGAAACAATAGACACTGCGTAATGCTGGAGGGTAGAAGGAAGGGAAGTGGGTTAAAAACTTCTTATCAGATATACATTCACTAGCTGGGTGACAGGATCTAAATCTCAGCATCACACAATATCCCCAGGTAACAAATCTGCACATATGCCCCTCTATCTAAAATAAAAGTTGAAATTAAAAAAAAAAATAGAGAATCAGATATGTATGTGTACATAACATATGTAATTTGGTTTTGATAGCCACTGCCAAATTGCCCATTAAAAAATATGTATCATTCGCCGGGCGTGGTGGATCACGCCTGTAATCCCAGCACTTTGGGAGGCTGAGGCGGGTGGATCACAAGTTCAGGAGATCGAGACCATACTGGCTAACACGGTGAAACCCCATCTCTACTAAAATTATAGAAACAAAATTAGCCGGTCGTGGTGGTGGGCGCTTGTAGTCCCAGCTACTGGGGAGGCTGAGGCAGGAGAATGGCATGAACCCGGGAGGCGGAGCTTGCAATGAGCGTCTGCACTCCAGCCTGGGTGACAGAGCGAGACTCCGCCTGAAAAAAAAAAAAAAGTATCATTCTTAAAAGTATTGACATATGAGCTGATAAAGACATATTTAATTTATTTAATTCTAGTTAAAAATAAAACAAAACTTGGAATAGAAACTTTCAGAGTATCTATTATATTTGAATTTCACATAAAAAATAAGACCGCAAAAGGTAACAGAAATGTGCTATGGAATGTCAGCAACAAAGCTATGATATAAAAAAAAAATTCATGAGACATTTTCAGTACTTTAAAGATACATTTATGCTAATTAGAGTCCAAGCTAAAATTTGATTTTCACAATTAAATATTACTAAGTAATCACAGTAAGTCAGCGTCTTTGGACAATTTGTATTTTACATTATAATATAAAAATATGATTTATTAAAATTGTAGAATATTGCAGTGTTTAAGAACAAAAGGTCTGGATTCTACTTGCCTATGTTCAAATAAAGGCTTTGGCAGCAGAAGCAAATGAATAGTTTGTCTAAACCTCAGCTTTACAGTTTAGTGAGTGGTGACTAACAACTGCATTTAGCTCATAAGATTGTTTCAAGTATTTAATAGCATAAGCACTTGCTCCCACAATTGGTACATGTTAAATGCTTGATACAATTTGTGTTTTTATAATTATACTTTAGCTTGTTTATATAATGAAGCTTACCTGCTTTGCATGCCCCACAAGTAATGTATTTATCTGTATTTGCAATGTAGTCTTCTACCTTCTGAGATCTCACATTTTTATGTTCTTAACTACAAAATGTATCTCTATGACTTTCTTTTCTACCCTCAATGGCCTTTCTGTCTTTTCAGTACACAAACACCTACTCATTCTTTTTTAAAAAATCAATATATGCTATACCAACTCTCTTTGCTACTTTAATTGGCACTTAAAGAAATTTTCATATAATTCAATACATCTTAAACTCTTTTCTGTTTTATTTTTTCAATTCATTAATTGAGGCTAGAAGACATGTTGCAAGTATAAAAGAATGGAAACATTTTAAATAATGAGAAATTGAATTCTTTGAACTTAAAAAAAAAGTACCAAAGTTTGAATAAACAAATAGGAAATAATGAGCAAAAACATCTGTAGCATGCTTAATTTGTGCCAGGTAATATAAGCACTTTACACCATTGTTCCTTAATTGATGCTCTCTGATGCAGGTTATTTTGTTATTGACATTTAATAGATGAGGAAACGGAGGCATAGAATCAGTCTCAGGTGCAACTTCTTGGTAATGCCTAACCTACATCATCTAAATCTGGCTCAGTTTTAGTTTCTTCTCCTATGTGGGTACAATATTGTACTTAAATCAATTATGGTAGCTATTTAGAAAATCAAACCTTGTCAGGATGGAAAAATTACTCAGTAAAGAATTCCTTTCTTCTTGATTGGTTAAGGCCAAAGAAAGAAAATATCCAAGCTCTTTTCCATGGTCTTTTGCAATAGGTAAATTAATTTAGATAACCAAAATGGTAGATAGCTTGAAGAGCTAGAGGATGGGATAGAATATATTATTTTCCAGCTTTACCTAGTCTAAAGTTTGTTCTGACATAAGACCTGCTATATCTAAATTTAAAAGGTTGTTTATAGATGACTTACTAAAAGTCTATGAGTAATCTGAAATAAATGTTTATTATTATTATTTTTTTTTAGATGGAGTCTCACTCTATCACCCAGGCTGGAGGACAGTGGCACGACCTCAGCTCCCTGCAACCTCCACCTCCCAGGTTGAATCAATTCTCTTGCCTCTGCCTCCCCAGTAGCTGGTATTACAGGCACCCACCACCATGCCTGGCTAATTTTTGTATTTTTAGTAGAGATGTGATTTCACCATGTTGGCCAGTCTGGTCTCAAACTCCTGACCTCAGGTGATCCACTGGCCTCAGCCTTCCAAAATGCTGGGATTACAGGCTTGAGCCACCGCACCCGGCCTGAAGTACACTTCTAAATCTGAAGTATTTTTGTATTTCTGTATTCCACATCTGTATGTAGAAAGAGTGAAAGAAAGCTAGCACCAACGAGCACTAGCCAAGATGATGCCTGTCACCAAAATTCTTAAAAGACGAATTTATAGCCATAGCCAAATATTCTATAGTGTACAGCAAATTGATTTATCCTAGATGAAATCCCATAGAAGAATATTGTGCCATGATTTTTATTAAATCCTGTTTGTGGTATTGTCCTATATTCTTACAGAAGTGTGTGTCATATAGGAAGTATGATTCTCTTATGAAATTTAATAAAGTATGCTATCCATAAAGCACATAAATACTAAAATAGAGTCAAACAAAAAAACACCTTTAATGTGGTGATACTGGTAGAAATTATTGTACAGAATGAGTTTCTTTTAATATTAAATTAACATAATTAAATTTATTAATTATTATTGGCTTGAAAAGCAGTGAATATGATGGAATGATCTTTCAGTGTCTTAGTATATGAAAACAGAGCCAGCAACAAGTATTGTAGGCAAAAATGAAATTGTCAGCAACTACTTTAATAGTTTTTCAGAACTCAAATAATGAAATGCACTTGTGGAGCTGTATCCATTTGTGGCAGTATACTGCCATGTGGAACACAGGTCTTGTTATTTAAACCAGTCACTTTACATTGATAATTCAATGTTTAAAATGCTGTTTATTTAGTTTCTTCACATCATGTAGTGAACAGAGTCACAAGAAATTATATTCTTTTGCAGAAATATTCTAAGGATTTTTTTGTATCTTTGATGCCTAATTCACTGTCATTTTTACAAAAGTAAAAATACCTGGCTGGAAAATCAAGAAAAAATTCAATGAACTTTATGTAGCATTTATCTTGAAGTGTTTCTTAGTTTCTAGGGTTTTGTGTCAATATTGGGGATGTGCACTTGCTTACTGATGTATGTAATTCTATTATGCATGAGTTTTGATGGTTTTAAAATTGCCAAAACTAAGTTAAATTGGTAAAATTATAAAGTCATTATAGTTGTTACCATTAACACTGTAACTTTCTCCAGTATTCCTTATTTCTTCAATCTGTACTACTACTTTCTGCTTTTGACCTCCGAGAAAATCAAACCATTTGCAATAGCAGTCTCTCTTGTTGGGAAAATCAAAGCTATACAACAAATACATAATTTCTTTTCATCTGATTGCTACTACTCTTTGTCCTTCTGCATCACTGGCCTATGTGATGGCAAAAGAGAGTTTTTTAGTCTCTGTCTTTATCTCTTATCTCTCTAACACTGAAATTCCACCTCTAGGTAGAAAATATGGTTCTGATTCGGTTGTAGTGCATTTTCAAATACAAATGATATATTACTAGTTTTTCCTCTAACAATTCTGTTATTTAAAAATTTTTGTGCAATAATTTTCCTTCCAATTCCCACCTTGTTTCTTTGCTTCTTAATTGTTTTGTTATAATGCAATATCACATGACAGATAATAGAAAATGATGAATGTTAGAGCTTTTTGCAACATAATATTTTACTAATACAAATATTGATTGTGTATTAAATTATTCAAAATTAACTAGAGAAAATATCTGTTTACAATAGACAGTCATGCACTGCAAAATGAGATTTTGATCAATGGCAGATCGTATATACGATGATGGTATCATAAGATTATAATGCCATATTTTTACTGTACCTTTTCTGTGTTTAGATATGTTTAAATACACAAATACTTACCACTGTGTGAAAATTGCGTACAGTTTTTTGTACAGTAACATGTTGTATAGGCTTGTAGCCTAGGAGCAATCAGCTATATCATATAGCCTAGGTGTGTAGTAGGCTGTGCTCTCTAGGTTTATGTAAGTATACTCTATTATGTACTCACAATGACAATATCGCCTAATGAAACATTTATTGGAATGTTTCTCTGTTAAGTCATGTGTGACTGTAAACCTCATGAGAAAAAGGTAACTTTATTATTTTTTTGACAGTATCTAGATAAGTTTTCAAAATTGACAAGTCTTCACCGCAGGGATAGATACTTTTAATATACTTCCTCTTATATTTGTATCTAAGAGGATACAAATGAGACACCACTGTACCTTATTCCATCCTTTCTTTCTACGTTTATTTTTTAGAAGCATAAATTCTGATATTTTTTCATTGGCTTGCTAGTTTTTCTTCATAAACTATCATCTCTTATGGTATTCGTTATGATATCTTGATCTTATAAATTATGTACCCTTGTAGCAAACCAGTGGATTTGAAAGTAATCAAAAAGCATTTTTGGGGTAGTTTTCTAGCAGTTACAAATATCATGCTCCCATAAGCAAAACGTGAAAGCCGTATTGTTTCTCCTGTGCCTTAATTCACTTTTCTTTATATTTTCTTGATTCCAATGAAATGTAATACAAAATGTGACTTTATTAGAGCACCTCATCTATGGAATATGTTTTTGCGAAAGTATAGTTATGTTAACTTGTCTTGTATTGCATCTTGTAAAGCAGAACAAGTTTGTGATAAGTCTTCAGGGGAAAAAACAAAACTTTAAAAGCAATTTTTGCAGATATTAAAATATTACATATTAAAATTCCAGATTAGATTATTTTATCTATTTTCATAATATTATAAGACATTCTAGATATTTATTTTAAAAGCCCCTAAACTGTTGACTTCTTATTACACAAAAACAGATACTACTTAGACAAGTCTTTTTAGTTTTCTATTTATTTATTTAAATGAAAGAGATTTTATAGGAGTGGGTGAGAGAATGGGAGATTAGACAAAAGTGTTCAAAAAGAAAAGTCCATTCCTTCACATTATCTACTATTTAAGTCAGAAAGTTTATAATACCAATCACAATTTGCAGTGTTGACTGGCATTACTCACTGCTAATGGCAAAGTCTTTTCTTGACCAAATTTCAGTTTGGCTCTTTGAAGCCCTCTTTTCAACCAAGCCTTTACCTTCACCCATCATGTCTTTGACCTCCTCAGCCCAGTTTTAGCAGAGAGTCCTGCTATATCAACCCGCTAGTCTTGGTGTCTGATCACCCTTCGTGTCTGATCAAGTTCCTTATCCCCTACCTTTGATGTATAAGTTTTGGCTTGCTTTTAGAAGGAAAGCTAATCAAAAAGTGGGCGAAGGATATGAACAGACACTTCTCAAAAGAAGACATTTATGCAGCCAAAAAACACATGAAAAAATGCTCATCACCACTGGCCATCAGAGAAATGCAAATCAAAACCACAATCAGATGCAATCTCACACCAGTTAGAATGGCAAACATTAAAAAGTCAGGAAACAACAGGTGCTGGAGAGGATGTGGAGAAATAGGAACACTTTTACACTGTTGGTGGGACTGTAAACTAGTTCAACCATTGTGGAAGTCAGTGTGGCGATTCCTCAGGGATCTAGAACTAGAAATACCATTTGACCCAGCCATCCCGTTACTGGGTATATACCTAAAGGACTATAAATCATGCTGCTATAAAGACACATGCACACGTATGTTTATTGCGGCATTATTCACAATAGCAAAGACTTGGAACCAACCCATATGTCCAACAATGAAAGAGTGGATTAAGAAAAAGTGGCACATATACACCATGGAATACTATGCAGCCATAAAAAATGAAGAGTTCATGTCCTTTGTAGGGACATGGATGAAATTGGAAATCGTCATTCTCAGTAAACTATCGCAAGAACAAAAAACCAAGCACTGCGCATTCTCACTGGTAGGTGGGAATTGAACAATGAGATCACATGGACACAGGAAGGGGAACATCACATTCTGGGGACTGTTGTGGGGTGGGGGGAGGGGGGAGAGATAGCATTGGGAGATATACCTAATGCTAGATGACGAGTTAGTGGGTGCAGCACACCAGCATGGCACATGTATACATATGTAACTAACCTGCACAATGTGCACATGTATCCTAAAACTTAAAGTATAATAATAATAAAAAAAAAGAAGGAAAACTATTAGGTGAGTTTGGTAAGAATCCCCTTACCTTTCATATTGCCTCTTAGTGATTCTTCATCCACTGCCTCCCCTCACCCTGCTCCTTGGCTATAAATCTCCACTTGTCATTGTTATATTCATAGTTGAGCCCTATCGCTCTCCCTTATTGCAACTCGCATTGCAATAATACTGAATAAAGTCTTTACGGTTTTTAACAAGTGTCAGAATTATCTTTCTTTAACACTAAGTTTATACTAATTGTGTTAGTGAGGGTTTTCTTGCTGGAATGAACAAATTCCATACATGTACTATAATCCTAAAGGTTTATTTCCAGTTCAAGCAAATCTATTGCAGATTTCCTTGATCAGGTGCATTTTTGGCAACCTTGTTCCAGGCAGTAACCTCAAAGTCTGTGCTCTTTCCCTCTCCTGGCTCTTCATATCTTAGCCCTTCATGTCCAGCTGTGTGAGTAAGGAGAGCATATGGGAGACTGTGAAGGACATTATTGGGTGTAGCAGGAATGTGGCATGAATCATTTTTACCAGCACCTCACTGGTCAGAAATCAGCTTCAAGGTATCATCTAGACACACAGGAACTGAGAAATGTAATAATTTTGCTTATCCAAATGGGAAATAATTCTTTTTTTCAAAACATATTGTGGAAGGACTGGTTGGTATTTGTTTGGACCTGGGCATGCTTTGCTAAGTAATCCTCCCTTAGCCATATCATATACAATTAGATCGATTGGAGAGTTTATTTAAAATAGTTTTTTTTTTTCCTAAGAACACGTAGGCAATGTGCTGAGTTGATTTCCCGTTTCTCACACAGGTTACTGATGGATCCGTCCTAAATGCCATCCATCTCAAGACAGAGGCCCACAGAAGTCAATGTATCTTCAAGATGGGAGTACCTGGAGATGGCTGTAGAGACCATGTAGCAGGAAATGGTGACAGAGAAGAGCTGGGCCTCTGGTACCAACATGCTTCCCCCCCGTTACAGCTATGCGGGCTGATAGTGACGCAATGTGTGGTTTCAATACTTCATAGTGTCTTACTTCACCTCAGTATAAAGTACTTTGAAAGCATCAAGGAAATGGTCCTCAAAAAAGGCTTATCCAGTCAGGACATCTGGTGCTGGCTCTGGAATGAGTGGATGAAGATAAGGCCTTCCAGTATGGAGGTGATAAAAATCAGGGAAGACAGGTAATCACAATGGATGACAGACCAGGATTCCCAGATATCTTGGCATGGCTGGAACAATGTACAGATCAAACCATGTAAAACTTAATGGGTATAAACCAACTCTTCACTTTGGTCTAAAAAAGTCCATTTGCATGGCTTCTAGTTAAAGGTGGACAGGCTCACTTTAGAATCCTATTATATACAAAGGATTTAGGGGGTTTAGTTCACAATGTGCTAAAGCCATCTCACAGTGACCATGGTATGAGCTGTGTGATTTGGTTTAAATATAATAGAGAATGAAGGACAAGGTTGAGGGTGGTGGTTACAGTCCTGCCTGATTCTGTAGTGCTCAGGTGACCTTTGAAGAATGAAGAAAGAAGTCAAAACCCCACACTATTAAGACATTGGAAGACTGGGAATGTTTATTTTCTGAAGAATAAAAGATGTAGGAAACATGAGCTGTCTTGATATGTTTAAATGGTTGTCATAAGAAGGAAAAATTCACAGACTTGTTCTGGGTAGGAGCTAAAGAATGATGTGTTTTTGCCAATCTAAAGGTGGAATTTTTAAACTCTGAGCTTACCGGTATTGAAATAAGCTATTCCAGAGGTCAAAAGCTTCTCATCATTATATGGTCAAATAGAGTTTGGGTCACTATTAGAAACAAAGATTTGAAATGAAATTTCAAGTATTGGAAGAGGACTTTTTTAAACTCTTAGAGTCTATAATTCAATGATTGAGATGTAATTCACTGGAACCTTCATTTAAAAAATTTATTTTGCTGTTCCAATATTATATGACAGGACTAATTGAGTTCAATAAACATTTATTAAAATATTTCCTGTATAACATCTTATGCTACACACAGTCCCTAATCTTTAGAAGTTAAACCTGAGGAAACTGCACACACAGACATCACTGTATACTCGCATAAGTAGTATAATAAAGGATAGTAAGGAGGGTCAGGGAGAGGAAAACAAAAAAGGCTAATCTAGGAACAGTATTTGGCCAGGTTTATATGGTAAATGTGACCAAACAACAACAACAACAACAACAACAAAACAAAACAAGCTTGTATTAGAAATTGGAGATTTAATTTGGGGGATAGACTGGATTCAGTGACATCAGTCCCATATCCTTTAGCTTTTCTACTTCCAGATCTAAACTTTGACCTTTGGAGTACAGGATATCATAGCGAGGTCCAACAAAGTCCTTAATGACTAGGTTCAGGAGTTACTCAACGCATCACTGTATTCTAAGGCAGAGAAGTGCACACCACAATATTAGAAACAGTACTACTGGCTATCTGCTATTCTTAAAGAAACATCACATTCACTTTGTCATGTTTCCTAAGCAATGCGGTTAACCAGCAGGTGGTGAAGATTGCAACACCCTTCTCTTGGAGAAAACTTTATTTTCCTAGTATTACCTCAAGTTTCTTAAAAATGAATATTTCTTATCTGGTATGTCATTTTCCTGGTTGAGACCATTGTTGAACATTTAAGAAGTCTGGACTTGGTGGCCAAACAGTTATCTAGGCAAAGGCTCTGACTTGTTACATAGCCAGTCCACAGATAAACTCTTCAATTTCTCTAGTTTCTCATGACAGTAACTCCCACCTCATTCATAATTTAAAAATACTTATTGAGTGCCTTCTGGGTTCTAAAGCTGTAACAGTAAGCAAGATAGTCATAGCCACTAACTGTTTGCAAGGCAAGGGTGTTGAAATTGTAGTATACTAGTGATTATGTGTAAAGAGATCAGTAAAATATAACTAATATGCTGGAAACATTAAAAAACGGTGGGGTGGGAAATAAAGGATTATTTCACAAATGCTTGTCTAGCAATTGATTAACCTTTTGGAGAAAAATAAAATAAGAACCTCATTTTGCAATGTATTCCCGCTATGGTTAGAATATGTTCCCTTCAAAATTCAGGTGTGGTTGATGTGGTAGTATTAAGAAGTGGAGCCTTTAGGAGGTAATTATGACATGAGGGCCTCTTCCTCATAAATGGGATTAAAAACCTTATAAAATAAGCATGGAGTGTTTGGGAACCTGCCCTTCTGTTGTATGCCTGGTGAGGATGCAGGAAGAAGGCCCTCACTAGACCCAGCACTTCGATCTTGAACTTCATAGCCTCCAGAATGATAAGAAAATAAATTTCTGTCCTTTATAAATTACCCTGTCTCAGGTATTCTGTTATAGTGGCACAAATTGACTAAGAAAACTCCAAAATAATTCTTATATGAATTAAAAATTAAATCATAAAGAAGAAAGCACAGACACAATACTCTCAGAATGGAAAAAGACTACTAACTGTTAAATGGGAAAAAGAAATAAAGAAAAAAACCCAGAAATATTTAAACACATATATGTCAACATCATAAACGAAATTTAAAAGGTAAATTAGCCAAGAATGTTTGCAAAAACATTTGTAAAACAAAAAGATAGGGAGGATAATATAAAAATAAAAGTGAATTTATAATAAAGTGAACCAAAATGAAGATAAATCACAAAATATATAAACATCTCCAGTAAAAAGACATCCAATATCATTAATAATGCAAAATGGAAAACAATTATATCATCTCCTCTTATATTAGTAAAATGTTTCTGTTTTGGTTTTGTTTTTGCATTTATTTAATGATGCCTAGGTTTGTCCATAGGAGGGTGAAATTTGAATTTTCATATACTATTGGTAAAAGAAGACATTTTTATACATTTCTTAGTGGGCATTTGAGCTATTTGTCCAGAACTTTAAAAATTTCAAATACTTTAATAGTTCTACTTCCTAGAATTTATAGCATAAAAAAATTGAGAAGCTCATAAGAATGTATTTCCAGATGTTCACTACAGCAAAGTTTAATACCAAGAAGCTAGAAAAGATTCAATTATTCAATGATACAGAGTCTATTTTATTATGGTACACTAAGTAATTTCAAAATTATAGTAAAATCACATTCTAGAAAAATCATCTTTGCCCCATTTGTGAAATGGCATCTTCTTATTTTTGTAGTTTCCTCACTCATGGCTCAAACTTCATTGAAATCACTTGTAGTATATAGTCCAAATAAACATAATCCTTCATTCTTTATGAGTTTCTAAATAAGGATTAGTAACAAATGCTGGCAAGGATTTAGAGAAAAGATAAACCTCCTGTTGGTGGGAATGTAAATTAATTGCTGGTTTACGATGTTACTGTGTTATCACTATGCTGCAATGCACAAAAGAATCATTGTAAGCACTGGAGATACTGCTGTTAAAAAATATATATATATATTGCCTTCTTTATGCAGCTTGCCCTTTAGAGCAGAGGTGTCCAATCTCTTGGCTATCCTGGGCCACATTGGAAGAAGAATTCTCTTGGGCCACACATAAAATACACTAACACTTACAATAGCTAATGAGCTTATTTTAAAAAATAAAAATTGCAAAAACATCTAACATTTTAAAAAAGTTTATGAATTTGTGCTTGGCCACATTGATAGCCATCCTGGGGCACGGGTTGGACAAGCTTGCTTTAGAGGATGAAACATACCATACACAAATTATTTCAAGTGGTAACAGATTATAGAAAATAAATAATGAGAAATAGGACAGACAGACTGGGGAAGTATGCTGTTTTACAGAGTTTTCAGGAGTCTCTGATTAAATAACATTTGAGCAGAGACATGAAGCTAGTAAAAAAAATAAGTCATGAGGTCTCTGGGTGATGAAGTCAAAAGCAACAGCAAGTGCAAAGGTCCCTAAAGCAGGATGAGGAACAGTAAGGAGGCTAGTGAGATGAGTGGTGTGAGATATGGAATAGTGGTCAGAGATGATGACTGATTGATAGTGATGGTGGAGGGAGTGGGTGGAGGGATACATTTAAATCCATGGGACCCTGTATGCCATGCTAGAAGTTGTGCATGTTTTGAGCTATGTAGGAAACCACAAGAGCTATTTAAATAGATGAATGAATATTACAGCCTATGATAGAGAATTGTGACTAATGTGTACAAAAGAATCTGTAAAGAGGCACCAGTACTGGGTATATACCCAAAGGATTATAAATCATTCTGCTATAAAGGCACATGCACACATCTGTTTATTGCAGCACTAGTCACAATAGCAAAGAGTTGGAACCAATCCAAATGCCCATCAGTGATAGACTGGATAAAGATAATGTGGCGTATACACACCATGGAATTCAATGCAGCCATAAAAAAGGATGAGTTCATGTCCTTTGCAGGGACACTGATGAAGCTGGAAACCATCATTCTCAGCAAACTAACACAACAGAAAACCAAACATTGCATGTTCTCACTCATAAGTGGGAGTTGAACAATAAGAACATATGGACACAGGTAGGGGAACATCACACACCAGGGCCTGTTGGCAGGTGAGGAGCTAGGGGAGGGATAGCATCAGGAGAAATACCTAATGTAGATGATGGGTAGATGGGTGCAGCAAACCACCATGATATATGTGTACCTATGTAACAAACCTGCACATTCTGCACATGTATCCCAGAACTTAAAGTATAATAACAATAATAAAAATTGTTTATAACTACAAAAAAGAAGAGAAAGAGATGCACCAGTAGAACCAGGGAGATCAGATACATGGTAGCATAAGCAAGACAATGATTGCTTGCATAAGGCTGGAGGTGATGAGCAGTGGTTGAGTTTGGGATGTATTTTGAGTTTCAGTGACAGGATTTTGCTAACAGATTGAATTTTGAGTGTGAGCAAGAGAGAAAAGTCATAAACAACTCCAACAGTGGCTTGAGTAACCTTTATTGAAATGCACAAGATTTTAGAAGTAAGAGATTTGAGGGTGGTTCAAATTTAGTTAAGCTTGACTTCCCAATTTTATATGTATGTATATATATATAAATTAATTTACCAATTATATATCAAAAGGGACATTTTGAGTGGACATTTGGACTAAGTCTATAGATAGGAATGAGGTTGTTTTTACAGGCACATATTTGAGAGCTGGTCTATAGATTTATTATTCAAAGCCATGTGACTAAATATTACCTAGGGAATGAGTATAGCTAATACAAAAGTTCCAAGGTAATTCGGCATTTAAAGTTTAGGTAGATTATAAGGATTCAGAAAGGAACCTAAATATGGATGATCAGTGAGGCTGAGAAACACCAGTTGCATGTGATCTCATGAAGGCCAAGTGAAGATGAAGATTCATGAGTATAGGAGGGATCACTTCATCAGGCTGCTGATGGATTGACAGAGACAAACATTCAGGAGTGACCAGCAGATATGACAACACGACAGTAATTTATGATTTGTTGAGATTAAATCAGGAGAAGGGGCTGGAAGAAATCCAGATGAGAGAGAATGGGAACTGGAAAAGTACAGACAGCAAGGAGGGAAACCTATTTGGACAACATTTGCTTAAAAAAATGGAAGAAATTTTAGTGGCTAGAAGGGCACATGGGAAAAATAGGTTTTTAAAGGGATAATAGTATAGCATGTTTCTGTTCTGGTGGGAATGGTACAGGAGCAAGAGAGAAAAAAATTGATGAATCAGGAGAAAGAGGGAGATAATCAAGCTTGTCATGTTACTATCTACAATAGCAAGGTCACACTTTTGATTATTCCCGTAAAACTGGGATCTTTTGACATTTTTCACATTTTATATCGCTAACATTCAAAGCAGAGAAGCAGAGACCCAGAGCTCAAATGCTCTGTCTTATCGATCAAGAATTCCCTGTGAGATAAAGGAACAGAGCAGCATCAAGACCCTTAGCTATCTGCCTGTTCCCTTTAAATATAGCCACATCTGCCCTCCATTCTTACTTTCTTTTATCCTTTTACAGAGGAATATGTGTCTCTCCAATGCAAAGGCAATTCTTTTGTTTTGTGAATCTTTTCACAATCAGCCGACTTGAATTGTTTTCTATTCAGCTAAAAGATCATTGATAAGAACACACTGAAGACGTATTTTACAACTGAAGAATGAATTAATGCAAGCAAATTTCTCACAATGTACTGTGTATGCTCACAGGCTGTACGCATACTGTATCTCTCTCTCTCACATACACACATACACATACATACACAGACACACCACCTCTTTTTAATCACCTAGTTCTGAATTTGTCATAAATCTTAATTGCAAACTATAAACAAACTATTGAAGTTAACTTCTTTGGGCAAAAAAAAAAAAAAAAAAAAAAATTAAGTCAGAATCAAAATTTGTTTGGGATAACATACTCTGATAAAGACCAGGGATCAAAGAACAACCAAATTCTGCCACAGTATGGTTTTTGTTAGTGTGCTTCCACTGGCAGTACCTCCACAGATATTTGGTATTTGTTGCTATGTCACTGGATTCAATCACTCCCAAATTTTCATCCATCTCACTGCCTTGCTGCTATGAATAATCTTTAAGTGAATGGCAGATCATAGATCTGTGACTGTTCTCTAGTTGGCAGGAAATGGGAAGAGGATTTTTTTTCCCTTTTCTTTTTTTTTTTTTTTTTTGAGATGGGGTCTTGCTCTGTTGCCCAGGCTCCAGTGCAGTGGCACTATCTCGGCTCACTGCAAGCTCCACCTCCCAGGTTCACACCATTCTCCTGCCTCAGCGTCCCGAGTAGCTGGGACTACAGGCGCCCGCAGCCATACCGGGCTAATTTTTTTTTTTTTTTTTTGTATTTTTAGTACAGATGGGGTTTCACCACGTTAGCCAGGATGGTCTCGATCTCCTGACCCCGTGATCCACATGCCTCGGCCTCCTAAAGTGCTGGGATTACAAGCATGAGCCACCGCGCCCGGCCCCCATTTTCTTTCTATAAAAAGAACTTATGATAAAACTTTCGGTTAATATGTGCTTAAAAAGACCCTGACAATTGATTTAAAATATGTGTTGGCATAGAGATAAATCTTTGAATTACAGGAAATTCTAAGAACATATAAAGGATCCAGGGAAATTATATTAGTCTATCCTGAGGTTGTGTCTCCATCGGTGTTTTTGTTTCTTTAACAGAACCCATCATGAGGTGAATTGCTAAATTTACTTCCTGGCATATACACTCCAAACATAATTATCATCCAGTGTATATTTCTATGGGAGTGAAATAGAAAATAACAATGAGCAACATCTACAATTTTTCTAATTCTGTTACTGGACATGCCTGACATTTATATTTGTATATTCCTAGCTTATATTTGTGGTTTTATATTCCTCAATTACAACAGCGACCTATTAGTGTATTAGTGGAAGAACTGCCTCAAGTCAACACTAGACACAGTCAAAAACCGTGCGTCTCCAAAATCCTTTTGAAAATGTGAATTTTTGCCTTAAGACTTGATTTTTAAAAGCTTTTTTTGCCATTATCTAGTAGTTGAGAGATGGTAAATCTAATCCTCTGTGTCCTCATCTCTAAAGTTGTTATAATACTGCCTCACTTCTAGCATCAAAATTTATATTAAACATGAAAAGCATAAATACAAGCATTTTTTTTTGGAAAATGTATAAAGCTCTACTAATGAAATACGTTATTTGCAATTATATTTGGAAAGACAATTCTTCCAACAGGTTACTTTTAGAAAATAATATTAGATCATAGGAAAAAATGAAATGTTCATGTAATACAATTATTAAAGATGAAATCTGATTAAAGTAATATATTTAATAAAATAAATACTGTGTCTTTATTATCTGATTCTGCTTCTAGCCTTAAAATCTCCTATCACCATTATAGAATTGATGTTAATTAAAACTGGGCATAATTATTATCTGATGGTCACTGATTTTTATGACCTCTTCCTAGTAGGAAAAGTACACTTCCCTCGGTAGGGTCTAAAACAATGCCATTGAACACTGTGGGAGCTCCATGAATACTTTACGGTAATTCAAGAGGCCACATGTTGAAATCCACAGTCATTGATAACGTTTTGGCATGGATATCAAAGAGTGGCAGTATTGGCAGCTTTGGGTACTGAATTGATGCTGGGGATCGTTCGTTTTAATTAAGGGTTGGAGTATCTTGGCATGGAGTGCATACAGCAGCCTAATGAGCACTTGAGTAAAGAATTAGAAAATCTGGATTCTAGATCTAGTTTTGTTTTGTTATTAAATGTGCCTATCTCTCTTCATAAACTAAGAGAGAGATTATAAGAAATGCAATATAATTCTAAAATATAGTCCAATGATACATTTTTCAGGTTAGAATATTTTACAATGTATAAGCTATATAAAACCCATACTCTTACATAACTCATTAATCTTTATCTGTACAGTTTAAAAAATCTATAAACACCATGGAGTTGTTTTGAGCTTCAAATAAGATAATGAGTAAACTTTGTAAAAACTGTGAAGTACTATAGAAATGAAATGTATTATGCTTATGATTGTGTCTATATTAGTATAATTTTCAGCAGTGACTAAAGATGAGGAATAACATTTTTATGGCAGGCACTAAACTGATTTTTGTACTGACAGACTTCTATTTCAGTGATTATCTGTCTGAGGAGTATCTCTTGTGCAGTATACAAAGGTGATAGAGAGAAGTTGCAGACATTCATTCTCTACCATCATCTACCACTAGGCTAGTGACTAAGAAAGAGTTAATTGAGAAATGGCTGGGCTTTAGAAGCTCTACTGATAAGTCTGTGGTCCAAAATAATGGCATATTTATCACTAACCTATAAAAGTAGCATTTGCTAGAAATAACCACAATGGTGTTTTGGAAAAGAACATATAGCCTAAAAAAAGCTAATGTTTGAATCAATGTTATTTACTCTTGTCGGCAAATTATCTGATATTTGGCTTTTATACTAGAAATATAATTCAACTTATGCAGATGTCTGCTATTTTAATATAATGTACCACCTTCTCCCAGAAGCAAAGATGAAATTCTTTAACCAATCCTTAAAGCTGCAATATAAGCTTACTGGGGATTTGTCCTCACCCTTTTGGTATGCATGTTAGCTCCATAAACTCCTTTTTTAGATACTCCTCTTGGGGAGGGTTATTTCAAATGTGCTTCATGAGAAAAGACATTTTGGTGACATTCGAGGGGCATCATATACTGCCTTGATAGGTAGTACCTTTCTTTTCCTTTTTTAAAAAAATTAATTTGAAGTAGGATGTTTGTTCCGATAAGGAGCAACACATTTAGACTTATCTGCCGTCAATAACTTAGTTTAAAGGGTTTGTGGAAGATGGCTGGCAATGAGATTTTTCCACTGGGTATATTGGAAATCAAGATCCAGAACATAGCCTAGGGAGAGAAGAGCTTGGATGATAAAGAAATAACAAAAGGTCTTGAAACAGCACTGGGTTTGAGAGGAGTGGAGATAAACATACGTTACTGAGTAAGTGATGGACCAAAAAGAGGAAAGGAAATAGTTTGGATTAAAATAATTTAGAGAGGCTGGATGCGGTGGCTCACGCCTGTAATCCCAGCACTTTGGGAGGCCAAGGAGGGCAGATCACTAGGTCAGGAGTTCAAGACCAGCCTGGGAAACGTGGCGAAACCCCGTCTCTATTAAAATACAAAAAAAAAAAAAAAAAATAGCCTGGCGTGGTGGTGCACGCATGTAATCCCAGCTGCTCGGGAAGCTGAGGCAAGAGAATTGCTTGAACCCAGGAGGTGGAGTTTGCAGTGAGCCGAGATCGCTGCACTCCAGCCTGTGCGACAGAGCAAGACTCCATCCCCCACCCCCCCAAAAAAAAAAAAAAAAAAGAGTTTAGAGAAAGACAAATCTGGTAGGGCTGCTCCTATAAAAGGGCATCTGAGGAATAGCTCTAATTCAAACGTAAATTGCTTTTGTTATCACTGAAGCAAATCTGATTTATAAAATGATTAAGCTCCATGGTTTGGCTCTGATATGATGGGTCCCTGATATTTGGCATTTGCCAGGAAGGCATGATGCCATTCAGCTGGTACCAGGTTGGGCTAATCAAATAGATATGAAAGTATTGGTGAGAAATACTTATTGTTTTATTTCCTGGTTCTTACTTTTCCTTTCAACAATTTCAGCATTTTAGTCTCTATAAATGTCAATCCTTTATTCTTCTGATGCTGAAAGAAATGCTTTGTTATAATGTCATGAAATGAGCATTTCACACAGGAAAATCTGCAAATCAACTTTTCACATTAGTTACTGTTACAACGATTCACTCCAGGGGTGCCATTTCTAGGTCAAAACATCAGAACTATTCTTCAGTAGCAAAACAAAACAGAAACAAATGCTGAGTCTGGAAAATAGGAGTACATTTTGTGAATTCTGGAGAGGAGGGCTCCACAGAGAAGAGAATCTTAAAACGCTTTTTCTCTATAGGAGAGTCACTAGCTAAAGGTACTGCATATCCCAGACATGTACACGCTGATGGAATGTGGTGTGAAAATCAGCAGGTATGTCAGGGCCCTAAATGCTGCTTCTGTAGCCAAAATTGCTATATTCTCTCTTCATCCCTGATTTGAAGCAGTAGGTCTTCCCTGAGCATCATTGTTTTTTCCTTTCATCTTTCTCTTTTAAAATTTCGTTTTCTTCTCAGTAAAGTCTGTGGGGATGAAAACTAACACAAAGTAAGACACTGTGACAAAGAAGCTGTGTGTTAGTTTAATTGTGTGCCTCAAAGTCATATTCCAATATTACCATCAGTTCAGTCACAGTCCATTTTACATTTCAAATGAAATCTAAGAGGATAAACAATTTAAAATAAGTTTTATGTGCTGCTTGTGGTGAACATACAGATCATTGCATCCATCAAATCCCTGTTTACATCAATGGAGACTAGTACGATCTTAAACTAGCAAAAACTACTCATGCTTTGTTGCTATTAGTATTCTCAGCTGCTTCACGGTCCAAGGCCGGCAGCGGGAGATCACTTAGGCGTCCATCACCCATAGTGGTTCTTACAGAATATAATCCCTAACTCACTTTAATAGAAAGAAGCATCTTTCATTCTGAAATGCGGAAACTGGTAAATAGAACACAATGCAGTTATTGACAGAGCAACCGATAAACTCTTGATAATTCGGTAGAGGGCTCAGGGTTTTATTATTGCTCAATTAGAATTCGTTGAAAGTTATGAATGTTCTGACTGCTTTAGCTTCTTGGGTTCAAGTAGATTGTTACTGAACAGGGTGTCAAATAATGGTGAAAGGGCAGATGTAAAATTTCAAAATATATGGGTACAAATGGGTTGGAATACAGAATTTATGAAGTGCAAATGTGATTACTCTCAATTATTTTTTAAAAGTACATGATTTATTTAATGCACAGTACTTACCTTTACTTACATGTTTTATATGTCTGTGCAGTTTAATTGCTATTACATCTTTGTAAAGATGCAAATACAAATTAAAATAGAAATTGCATCCTAATTTAAGCAATCTGAGAACTTTAAAAATTGTTATTTTAAGACGTACTGACTTCATTCTTCAATGATTCTTCACATCTAGTGTAGGATAGATGTTATCATTCATTAATATTATCATATCAATTGATTGGTTGCTTCATTTTGTGTAACAGCTATTTCATAATGATAGCAATAAAATAATATCTAATATAATGAAAAAATAAAGATATAAAGTATCTTTATATCTTTATAATAAAAGTACTATATACTTTTGAGTACTATATACTTTTATAATAAAAGTACTCAACCACTTTTATTTTCCTAAAGTGGTAATAAAATAAATTCAATTTCTAATGTGAAAATACTATTTTTTTAAAGTTTACTTAAAATGTGAAAACTCACTTTTAAATCAATTGTTAATAAATCAATTGCTTTTAGCAATTAGGTTAGTCTGAGGCTAATCAAATTTCTTCATATGTCTTTTCTCTTCTAGTCTAGTAGTGACACAGAAATTTGTTTTCTACATATTTTAGAGTTAAGGCAAACATTCAAATTACTGTATATTTTCAGCTATATTTTAAGGGTGTTGATGGTTAAATTGTCCCTATTGAAATCATAATTACCATAAACTTAAACTGCATTATAGGTGGATATAGAATCATTCAGTACTCCTTGTCTTTAATTATTAAAACTAAGAACAATGATAGTTATCAAAACCATGGACGGAACTAGTATAAATTGGCTGATGTTTCTTAAATGAATTTAATATAAAAAATTATATTGTTTATTAGTAATCTCTTTGGGGAAACTGGTTTAGAATTGATCATAACTGATTATCTCTTGAGGACAAATTATATAAATTTTCATCATGTTAAAGACAAATGGTAGTCTACAATGGAACATAAAGTAGAAAACAAATTCAACTATTAAGATAATTTAGCATCACTATCTGAAATCTTTGCTTAATTCCTCAACCATTAGCAAATGTGTGGCCACAGACATCTTTTTCTGCCCTCCAATTTTCTAAGAAGAGATTCAAGCAGGGTGCTATTTTGATCAATGAGTGACTTTTTCAGCAAAAATTTATATGCTGTTTTTATCATTCTAAATATAAATTGTAATGATATTTCATATGACAGAGTTGGTATATAAAGATATGATCAGACTCATCTTGAACAAACTAGATAAATGCTCTTTCAGAAACATAGGATAAATCACTAAAATATTTTTTGAATGATATGATTCTCTATAAAATGTGGTTAGGTGTCATTAAGTCAGCACAGGATATCATAGGCAGATACAAAACAAAATAATACAAATTCTCTGCATGCTTATTGCTTTATAATGTTGGTAGGTTAAACAATGTATATCCATTAAATAAAGCCAATTCAGTTCATTTAGTTTCTTGTTTTCTATGTGCTCCTGAACATTTGAGGATATTCAAATCATCTGAAAATATTTAATTTCTGAGAAAACATTAAGGCCTTCTGGGTATTTGGTCATGTCATTGAGGGTGCTCTGAGAATAAAAATTGCATTTCTTGGAAGTCTCTGAGATTGCTGTTATGTTCCCAGGAAAATAATTTAATATTCCATAATTTTTTAAAGGACAGTAGGTGCATGTGGGGAAAAAACCTGACTTTCATAGACCTAATTATTTGTGCTAGGATTCTTAATATAAAATAGAATTACTGTGCTGTTTACCCTTGTCTTCTCTGAGTTACATCCCTACAGAAGAAAGGTGGTACTTATGTATCTCTTCTTGGAGTGTAAAATATAGTATACTTTTCTTAGAATACTTTCAAGATAACCTACGAAAACCATTTCTTAATCACTAAAATTTCTACCCATGTACACAATTACCAAATGAAACACAGCTTTACTCTTCAAAACATGTTTTCTAAGCTGAAGTAAATCCTCTACCCAGGAATTATGTGTAAAAAATGGCAATAGCAAATATGTGTAAGGGTAATAGCAAATTAGAATATGTTTGTCAGAAAAAAAAGAAGGAGTCTAGGTGTGATTCAAGGGGAATATGAATATCGGAGTGGTGGACCAAAGAAGACCTGGCAGAGGTATCATATGAGTCACAACAAAGTGACTGGATGCCTCTGAGAGTTAAGTTTGAAAAAATTCTTTAGGGAAAGTACAGTGTAAAATTTAGAGAAAACAAATAAGGAAGATAAGGGGAAGAGGTATTACTATGAAAAACAAATTCCAAGTCATCTCTAAAACCATGTGTACCTAGTTACTTCGAATTTCTAGTCCCTGGGCATGGTCTGATCTAGCAATAACAGCAAATAAGATACTTTGTCTTCCTATCAATTTTATTCTAATGCTAAAATAGTGTTCTTGTCAAAGTGTCTAGGTGCTAAAGTGATAGCTATAACATTTTAAACAGGTAATAAATATTAATCAATGTGATGCATTTTATACAACTATCATCTGGGTGTTTCAAAACATGTTGCAAAGAGTTCTTACAAAGTCCCGTTAATTAATATTGGTGCCAGGGATGATCAGACAAAATATTTATTGAGGGGCATCAGTGTGAAACATTTCATAGACATTGATTTTATCTAATAAAGCAGCCAAGGCAATAAATGTGAAACTAGATGACTTACCCAGGAGGAACTTATCTGGCATTCACTCCAATTTATACTGTCATGGATTATGGACCCCTCCAAGGACCTCTGGGTTTGAGGGGAGAAACTGACATGATTAACTAAAAGTGGATGTTAAAAATAGATGTTAAAGAGGAAATGAATGTGCTTGACAATTCAGGAGAAAGCTTTAAAAAGTAAAAGGAATTGCATGAAATCAACCTGAGGAAAACGTTAAAAATGATCAAGATTTTTTTAGACTGCACTAATGATAAAAAAAAAAACCACTTTCTCCTTCTCCTATTTTCTCCCTCTCCAAGTTCTTCAGTTTTCAGATTCCCAATGAAGAATGTTGTATTAGACTTCAAACCCAGATGTCACTTGAGATATATATATATCAATTTTTATTGATATATATAGATATATATCAATATTATATTTATATATCAAGTTAAATGGTAGCTCCCCCTACCTCACCTGGATATTTAACTGAAATTCTACCACATTCATTGTTATTGGTGCTTCAGTGGAGAGGAGAATATGTGATTGCCATTCTCTGTGAAAGAGGTACTCTAAGCGATGGAAATCAAAATGCAGACAGTCCTTAGTCATTGTTGCTCTATTCTGAAATCTATAGTTTTTAGAATGGCATTTCCATTTTTAAAATATTTAGTCATATTTTACATTATATTTTTAACCTTTGCCAAGCTCCTCGTATCTTGAATTATGAAACTCTAAAAGGAATGTATTATAGGCAGTCCGAAACTCACCACTGATAAACGTAAGTTGTTTAATGAAGAAAAAATATTTTTGACAAGGAAATTATGTTACGCATATTGCTTAATTTCTCATAAGCATATACAAGAAGTCCTTCTTGTTTATAATGCCACTAAAATAGAGTCAATATGCCATTTAAAGTTTAGTCACAATTTAAACCTTGGGCTCTATGAAAATCGCCGTCAATTCTATTCAGTTTGAGACACAGCCTTAATGAACAGTTTTTCCCTTTCTCGTTCTTATTTTTCTTCTTGAGTAAAACCAAGAAATAGAAGGGTATTCCTGAAGCTCCTGAAATATGGAGTATATGATCCATTCCTAGAAATTTGGAGAAGGAAATTTTATGACAGCACATGTGGAAATTTTAATCTCCAGTTGAGATGTCTATTTAGGGAGCATGTTTATAAACTGTGCATTTGTGACCTGAAAGATAGATTATCTATATGAATTTTAAGGATTGGACATGTGCCTTGAATAGTATAAAGATGACCTATGTATTAATCTATTTTTTATTTAAGAAGACACGTATGTCCATTTCTTATATTGCTTGGATGTAGTAAATTTTTGTTCAATATAAATTAACAATTATGTACTGAGTTCTTATTGAATAGAAATCATTGGGCAACATGAAGAATTAAAAAATCCAATAAATAATTTTTCGTAATTTCTATCTTCAAGGCAGATACTAAATGTAAGATTAATAATAAAACCTGTTTAAATTTAAGTTTCAAAGTATATATTTGGCAATATAACTATAAATTGTCTAAGGGAGAAAATCTTGCATCTATGAGCTCTTCATAGATTCATGCAGAAGGTAAAATCTTACCTAGATTTTACAGAAAATAGATAATTTGATACCAAGAGTATAGCACACTTGATATTTAAACCTGAGTTCCCTTTTTATATAAAAAAAACTCAAAAAGCAAATAAGAAGAACAGCATAAAGTCTCTTTGGGACATATATAATGGAAACAAACCATCTAAGAATGTGCAAGAAGGAAACTGCTTTTGGAGAGGAAGACAATGCTAAATGGGATTATCTATTACTGAGAAATGGTTATGGTTGGAATGTATCATGGAGGTTCCTCTGAGAATAAATATGTGTAGACCTCTTTATATGGTTTGGCTGTGTCTTCACCCAAATCTCGTCTTGAATCATCATTCCCATAATTCCCATGTGTCATGGGAGGGACTCTGTAGGAAGTAATTGAATCATGGGGGTGGCTATCCTCATGCTACTGTCCTCATGATAGTAAGTTCTCACAAGATCTGATGGTTTTATAAAGAGCATTTTCCCCTTTTGCTCAGCACCTCTCCTTGCTGCCACCAGGTGAAGGATGGGTTTACTTCCCCTTCTGCCATTATTATAGTTTTCCTGAGGCCTTACCAGCCCTGTGGAACTGAATCAACTAAAGTTCTTTCCTTCATAAATTACCCAGTCTCTGGGATGTCTTTATTAGTAGTATGAGAATAAATTAATAGAGTAAATTGGTTCCAAGTAGTGGGGCACTGCTGTAAAGATACCCGATAATGTTGAAGCAACTTTGGAACTGGGTAACAGAAAGATGTTGGAACAGTTTGGAGGGTTCAGAAGAAGATAGGAAACTGTGGGAAAAATTGGAACTTCCTAGAGACTTGGAGGGCTTAGAAGACAGGAAGATGTGGGAAAGTTTGGAACTTCCTAGAGACTTGTTGAACGGCTTTGCCCAAAATGCTGATAGTGATATGGACAATAAAGTCCAGGCTAAGGTGGTATCAGATGGAGATGAGGAACTTGTTGGGAACTGGAGTAAAGGTCGCTCTTTCTATGCAAAGAGATTGGCAACATTATGTTCCTGCCCTAGAGATCTGTAGAACTTAGAAGTTGAGAGAGATGATTTAGGGTATCTGGTGGAAGAAATTTCTAAGTGGCAAAGGGTTGAAGAAGCAGAGCATAAAAGTTTGGAAAATTTGCAGCCTAATTATGCAATAGAAAAGAAAACCCAATTTTCTGGTGAGATTTGCATAAGTAATAAGGAGCCAAATGTTATTGACCAAGATAATGGGGAAAATGTCTCTAAGGCATGTCACAGATCTTCACAGCAGCCCATCCCATCACAGGCCCAGAGGCCTAGGAGGGAAAAATGGTTTCCTGGGCTGGGTCTAGGGCACCCCTGCTGTATGCAGCCTTGGGACCTGGTGCCCTATGTCCCAGCCACTCCAACCATGGCCAAAAGGGGCCAAGGTACAGCTTGGTCTGTTGCTTTATAGGGTGCAAGCCCCAACCGTGTTAGTTTCCATGTGGTGTTGAGCCTGTGGGTCCACAAAAGTAAAAAATTGAGGTTTGGAAACCTCCATCTAGATTTCAAGGATGTATGTAAACACCTGGATGTCCAGATAGAAATTTTCTGCAGGAGTGGAGCCCTCATACAGAATCTCTTCTAGAGCAGTTCAGAAGGGAAATGTGGGATTGGAGCCCTGACACAGAGTCCCCACTGGGGCACTGGCTAGTGGAGCTGTGAGAAGAGGGCCACTATCCTCCAGACCCCAGAATTCTAGATCCACTGACACCTTGCACCATATTCCTGCAAAATCTACACACACACTCAATGCCAGCCCATGAAGGCAACCAGGAGGGGGGCTGTAACCTACAAAGCCACAGGGGTAAAGCTGCTAGAGGCTGTGGGAGCCCACTTCTTGCATCAGCATGACCTGGATGTGAGATGTGAGATCATTCTGAAGCTTTAATATTTGACTGCTCCACTGGATTTCGGATTTCTATGGGAACTGTAGCCCCTTTGGTTGGGCCACTCTCTCCCATTTGGAATGAATGTATTTACCTAATGCTTGTACTCCCTTTGTGCCTAGGAAGTAACTAACTTGCATTTGATTCTACAGGCTCATAAGTTTAAGGGACTTGCCTTGTCTCAGATGAGACTTTGGACTTTAACTTTTGAGTTAGTGCTGGAATGAGTGAAGATTTTGGGGGACAGTTGGAAGAACACAATTATGTTTTATTTGTGAGAACATAAGATCTGGGAGGGGCCAGGGGCAGAATGATATGGTTTGGCTGCATCCCCACCCAAATCTCATCTTGTAGTTTCCATAATTCCCACGTGTCATGGGAGGGACCAGGTGGAGATAATTGAATCATGGAGGCAGTTACTCGCATGCTGCTGTTCTGATGATAGTGAATGAGTTCTTATGAGATCTGATGGTTTTATAAGGGGCTCTCCCCCCTTTTGCTCAACACTTCCTGTTGCTGCCATGTAAAGAAGTATGTGTTTGTTTCCTCTTACATCATGATTGTAAGTTTCCTGAGACCTCCAGGGCCCTGAAGAACTGTGAGTCATTTAAACCCCCTTCGTTGATAAATTACCCTGTCTCAGGTATGTCTTTATTAGCAGCAGGATAGCAGACTAAAACACCTCTGTACCAAGGTATAAGCTAGATGGTGAGAACTTATACGTAAAATTTCTCTACCACGAAGTAGTTAAGCCTGAGTCTTAAATTTCTACCCAAAATGTGAACTCCACTAATGGTCTGAGGAGTTATTTTTATTAACTCAGTTTAGGCTGTTTGATCATTAAGATTCATTTTCAAATTTAGCCATGAAATTCTGTACCAGCTCTACACAACACCTATTATTCTGACCTTAATCTTTGTCTTAGTCCAATTGTGCTTCTATAACAAAATTATGTAAGAGTACTATCTAGTTATATAATATTAAAATTTTATTATTATTTTCACTCTCTTCAATTCTATGAAGGCTGGGAGAGGTGAGAAATCTGCAGAAGAAAAATTTGATGTAATAAAGATTGATCTACAAGATTTAAGGAAAGAAGCTGTCTCTATAATATATGAGTAAGGTGAAGCATCAAGTGCTGATGGAGAAGTTGCAGCAAGTTATCCAGAAGACCTAGCTAAAACCATTGTTGAATGTGGCCACACTAAATAACAGAATTTGAATGTAGAAAAAACAGCCTCACATTGAAAGAAGATGCCATCTAGGACTATCATAGATAGAGAGGAGAAGTCAACGCTTGACATTAAAGCTTCAAGAAACTGGATATCTTGTTAAAAGATAATGCAAGCTGGGCATGGTGGCTCACTCCTGTAATCCCAGCACTTTGGGAGGCTGAGACGGGCAGATCACCTGAGGTCAGGAGTTCGAGACAAGCCTGGCCAAGATGGTGAAACCATATCTCTACTAAAAATACAAAAATTAGCCAGACATGGTGGCATGCACCAGTAATCCAATCAACATGGGAGGCTGAGGCAGGAGAATCGCTTAAACCCTGGGGGCAGAGGTTGTGGTGAACCAAGATCATGCCACTGCACTGCAGCCTGGGCAACAGAGCAAGACTACTTCTCATATATATATATATATATATATATATATATATATATATATATAGCAACTGGTGAAATTAAGTTGAAGCCAATACTCATTTACAATTTCAAAAATTCTAGGGCCTCTAAAATTATCCTAAATCTACTCTGCCTGTGCTCTATAAAGGGAACCACAAAGGCTGGATGACAGTACATAATTTTATAGCAGAGTGATGGCTCTGGTTTCTGAGATTTGAGTTAACATAGGGTGGCCACAGAGCCTGAGTCTGGAGTGTTTGCACTTGTACAGTGGCCATTGTCCTGGGGTCAAGGCACGTGTAAGCTTGGTGAGGTGGTGGCTCCTTTCTGAAAGCCGCTCAATAGTAGCAGCTTCTTGGGTTGGGAAGAGATGTGCAGCCTCATCTCCCTTTCTGGTGTTCCACAGTGGGAATGCCTGTTGGTTGCCTAAGTGCTGAGAATACTGGTGTTCTCTGTGGAGCAGGCCACTGGGGACTATAATGATTTTTCACCATGTGGCTAATGCCTGTGGCCCTCTGCCTTTCTTTTTTGCACTAGAAGTCGCCTGGCTTCTCAGATGTGTTGATCTCACCAGTTATCTTTTCTATATGAATGTTCACCTTTTTATGTATTTATTTATTCTTTTGCACCACTGTGTTGCTGCAAATTCTTTAATGGGCCCTCTCTGAGCTATTTCTGTTTGTGAGTAGCTGTCTCTCTCTCTCTCTCTCTCTCTCTCTCTCTCTCTCTCTATATATATATATATATATATATATGTTTGTTTGTGTGTGTGTGTTTGTGTGCAAAAATTAAGGCTGGTCTTTTCTACTCTGCCATGTTTCTGATGTCAATCAGGTCTCAATTTTAAAAGTTCTTTAAAAAGTGAAAAAAAATGATATAAAAGAACTCAGAAAGGAAATGAAGAAATTTGTTGTTGTTGTTCTATAAATACATTCTCTAAGAGGAGAGTGGTTTCAGATAAGAAAATATTCAAAAGAATATTATCTGAGGTTTACTATAATAATTTATTCCTAAATATCCTGAATCAATGTCATGTATTTTCTATTATATTAAATAACGAGGTATTTCAAATAAATGAATTAATATTCTTAGCCTGTTTTAGACCTTGTGTGATTGATCCAGAAACATAAAGAACTAAGTTATCTTTCTCATTTATTAGTTATGAACTACACTATTTTAAAGAATTTACCTGAAAATACAAATGGAAAAACTTAGCATCTCAGAAAAAAACAATAAACACACATACACATATTACATATATGCACAAACACACATACACTATAAGATGTATGTTTTAATTAGATCTATTATTTATTTTAGTCATAGGCAACTTATTTTAAATCAAAAGCTACTCCATTCCAGGCAGGATTTAAACTGACTTTCAAATAGAGCTCCAGTATTTAAAACTTCGCCTGCCTATAACTAATATCAAGTCATGTTCCTTTTACTACCTGCATGACAAACACAAGCCCTTATCTCTTTATTATGGGTTTAGAGCCTGTTTTAAAAATTAAAATTGTTCCTGAGATATTTGTAGATTCACTTTTAGGTTGTAACATATAGCACAGAAATATCCCTTGCACACTTTGCTAAGTTTTTCTGCTGATAACTTTCAGTAAAACCAGAGTACATTATTACAGTCAGAATATTGATATTGCTACTTTTCACCAATCTTAACTCAAAATTTCCCAGTTTCATTTTTACCTTTGTGTGTGTGTGTGTGTGCGTGTCTAAGTTTTATACAATTTTATCACTCTGTGTAGGTTTTATATCCACCACCAAGGCCAAGATATTGAGTAGTTCCAGCATCTTAATACCCTTTCATAATCACACTCACCTCCCTACAGTCCCCTGACCCTCAGTTCCTGACCCCTGACATCTACAAATCTATATTTTAAAAATATTATCATTATTTAAATGTTATATAAATAAAATCATACTGTAAATATCCTTTGAGAATGATATTTTTTATTCAGCATACCCCTCTGGCAATTCATCCAACTCGTTGTATGTATCAGAAGTTTGTTCCTATTGGATTGCTAAGTAGTGTTCCATATTATGGATGATGTACACAGTTTAATTACTATTCCACTGAAGGACATCTGGGTTGATTCCAGTTTTTCTCTTAAATGTATTGCTACTATGAATACTTGTGTACAGGTTTTTGGGAAAACATATAAATTTTTATTTCTTTCTGAATGATGCCCAAAGGTGCAATTGTTGGCTCCTATGATAGTTGCATTTTTTGTTTTATAAGAAAATGCACCTGGTGTAGTGGCTCACACCTGTAATCCCAGCGCTTGAGGTCAGGGATTTGAGACAAGCATGACCAACATGATGAAACTCTGTATCCATTAAAAATACAAAAATTAGCTGGGCTTGGGGACACGTGCTTGTAATCTCAGCTACTTGGGAGTCTGAGGCATGAGAAGCGCTTGTACATGGGAGGTGGAGGTTGCAGTGAGCCGAGATCGCGCCACTGCTTTCCAGCCTGGGTGACACAGTGAGACTCTATTTCAAAAAGAAAGAAAGAAAAGAAAAGAAAGAAAGAAAGAAAGAAAGAAAGAAAGAAAGAAAGAAAGAAAGAAAGAAAGGAAGGAAGGAAGGAAGGAAGGAAGGAAGGAAGGAAGGAAGAGCAAACTGTTAATCAGACTGACCGTAACATTTTATGTCCTCACCAGTAATGTTTTAGTGATCTTGTTCCTCTGCATCCTTGTCAGCATTTGGTATTGTCAATATTTTGACATTTAGCCATCTGGTCGATGTGTAGTGGACCCTGTCTTTTTTGACTTTAGGAAATCCAGTTTGCTAAATCCCTCCCTTCAAAAATATGTCTGTAATAGAGGAGTAAAATAAGATTCACCCACGGCACCTGATTATAATCTGTAGTCTCAGCCTCAGTTCTGAATCTAGTGAAATGTCTTTGCTCACCCTGTGTGCTCCACTCTACCTCTACATGTTGTTGTTCTGTGAATTTTTGTATCTTTTATTATGTTAATAATTCCATTGCATCTCTGCTTAACTTCTTGGAGCTCTCTCATATTTTACTAATATGATAGCTGATACAAGACTTTGATATGTAATAAGATTGTATAAATCATTTGGATAAATAAAAATAATTTATAATAATTATAGTATTAATTTTAATAACCTTTAATTTATTAATATATGATACGATATACTAAAATATAATACATTTTATCTAATGTTAATATGATAGATTAGACTATAACAGTAATTTAATATATTAATTTATCTATATATTATATTTCATATTAATATAATAATATTTAAAATAGTATTATATAATTAATAATACAGGTTAAGTATCTGTTGTTTGAAATACCTGGGACCAGAAGTATTTTGGATTTTGGATATTTTTGAATTTTGCAACATTCGCATACACATGTGATATATAAGGATAGGACATACATCTTAACATTAACTTCATTAGAGTTTTATATATACTTTATACAAATTTATATTGCTGTCCAGATCTTGCAACAGGTTGACTTTCGGTGATGTACATAAAAATCACAGTAATTTATTTATTTGTTTGTTTGTTTGTTTGTTTATTTATTTATTTATTTTGACACTCTCTCACTCTGTGGCCCAGGCTGGAGTGCAGTGGCATGATCACAGCTCACTGCAGCCTCGACCTCTCAGGCTCAAATTATCCTCTTATCTCAGCCTCCCAAATATCTGTGATTACAGACATGCACCACCACACCCACCTAATTCTTATATGTATTTGTTTGGTAGAGATGAGATTTTGCCATGTTGCCCAGGCTGGTCTCAAACTCTTGGTCTTAAGGGATCTGCTAACCTTGTACTCCCAAAGTGTGAAGATTAAAGGAGAAGACCAACACACCTGGCCCTTCCTTTACTTCTTATCGCTGTTACCTATGAGGTTATCAGCAGGCCTTTTTGAAATTTTTAACAATATCTTTACACCAGAGAGCAGAAAGTGAGCAAAAAAAGCACAGTGGATAAGGCACATAGGTCTTGGCCCGAGGTGAGACATCATGGTGAACGTGCTCTTGGCACATCCGGCTCGCACACATGCCATGTTATTCATCTTTACTCTTTATGGGTGTGCTTGCACTGAGAAATCTGGGCTTGTGCAAAAAATATCTTTTCTCTTTTGAGAACGTTGAATAAACTGTTGTCTACCTATGTTTGGACTTTAACCTGTTGCATGAGGTCAGGTGTAGAATTTTCTACTTGTAGTATCATATTGGCCCTCCAAATTTTAGATTTTTAGATAATTTGGAATTTTTACATTAGGCATGTGCAACCTATATAATGAAATTTAATTTCTATTAGACATAAAATTTCTGAGAGACAACATCACTAACTTTGGATACTTTCATGTTGATTTCCTCTCTGTCTAAAGTGCCACCTAGAACAGATCAGCTTCTGCCAAAACCGGTGCCCCATATCATCTCCTCTGTATCTGGAGTTTCACTTTCTGCTCATAGACTCCTCTTCCTGCTAATAAGTACAGGTTATGCACATTTGGCATGGTCCTTTGAACTGTGTGCATAATATTCCTATGACTAAAACTGGCTCAAAGTTATACAGTATTTCCAAGACCAAGCAATATTTTTTCAGGAGGAAAAAAAAAAGGTTAAATCCATATTTAAAAAGGAATCTTTCCTAGAAAACTAACAATATCTATAAAATTCTCCTAAAACTGATATTCATATATATTAGCAAACAGAACAGTTGGTTTTACATCCTAATCTACTTATTTAATGTGGCTTCAGAGTATTCTTGCAAAGAATGGATGTATATTAGGACTAATTGAGTTTCAATATTGGAAGTGCAAGTTTAAACCTAAGCTGAAAACAAATCAAAAGCTTACATGTCTGTGCTACTGTGTATTATGCAATTCAAACTGTTTCCAAGCACAGCTGGATCTGGGGATGTTCAAACATTATTTTCAGGACTGCTTCTTTTTTTCCTACCCTTGACATTGCTGTTGTTGGCTTGGCTTCACTCACAGGCATACTCTCTCCACATAGATAGATTGGGATTTCCAAACTTTAGTGGATTTTATGGATTTTGATATCAGTAAGGAGATATTACAGTTTCTAATGTCAGGAAGAACACTTTAACTATACTTGTGGCCAAAATGATGAAGCTCCCTCAAAGTTCAAGCTAGGATCGAGATCCATTACTTGGGTGTTAGAGTCAGGGCATTAAGCATACCTTAACCACACGTGTTTTAAAAAAACAGTGTCAAATCAGGAAAAGATTAGTCTCCATAGAATGGGATGCAGAGAAAACAAAATATCCATGTACTATCCAATTTCATGATTTTCCATAAGAAAAGAAAATGGTTTCAATGATTAATTTTATTTCTGTAAAATGAAAATGGTTTCAACTTTAAAGTTAAGTCTTAATTCCCCACACTCTACCTGTTTCACTGAGGTTTCAAAGCTTTTATCGTGGCTATATGAGTAGATTTCATGCTCAGAATTTCCCTATCATTCTAGGAAAGATTTTTTTCAAGCACGTAGTATAAGAATGGGGTATAGTGTTGAGGTGAAGGTAATGTGAAATTCCATTCTGGTCTTCCAAAACCTATTATAGGAGAATTTTACTTTTCCCTGTCTATATTACCCTTTTGAGTAACGGTCCACAAAACTAAAAACATTCCTTTTTTTTTTCAAGAAGAGATCTAATGCAAGGCATCACATGACTACAAATTACAGAAAAGTCTGGAGAAACAAAAGAAAAGTGGCTACCAGTGGATTCATGACTTCAAATATGTACTAACACCTCAGTTCTAATCCAGAGGAGACAAAAATGCTGAATCTGGCTCCTCAGGTGTTCCCACTCATTAAGCTGATGGCTAGACATTGGGATGCAGGCATCATCTGCATCAATTGTCTCTAGGTTATCTTGAAGCTCAAGTCTAGATATTGGAGCACTGTGACAGCTAGTACTCATATCTTCATGACCTTCCTGGTAGACAGTAACTGCAGCAAGAAGGCCTTTGCCTTAACTAATGTTCCAGAACTCAAACAAGTGCTTCCTTTTGGCAGAATCTAATTCAAATTCATAGATCTAGCTTCAAGGAGGTCTGGGGACTGAAATAGGCTGTCTTCCTAGATCTTATAGTACAAAAAGGCACTGCATACACTGTGGTAGAAATGGATACTGAATACCAAACATAATATATCATATAATTATATACCTGTGTATATGCATGCATATACAAAATGCATATATATGAAGTAAATTTTCAAAGCCTATGGAAAGATCATTGCAATGGGTGAAATTAAGTTAAATGTATTTCACTAATTGTAAGATTTCTGGACATATAATAGCTTTTATTGCATTTATCCATGGGAAACAAAATCTGCAGTCAAGACTATTTGCTATATTCTATGTAGAAAATAATAATTTTTAAAACTCTCCTCTATTCAGCATTGTTGCTTCTATAGGTATTCTTAAGGAAGAAAATGGCATAATGAAGCTGGACATCAATTTATGGCACTGTAATTGAGATTGGGCTAAAATCACAGCAATTTTTGAATCAGCACATTTAAAAAATCAGTAGTTTTTCCTTGTGGAAGCAATCCATATATTCTATTGCTCAAGCATTTCTTTTCTCAGGCTTACACAAGAAGGCATAGCAATTATTTCTCAAGTTTTTATTCTTATTCTCTAGGGTAAAATACATTCTCTTGATGGGCTTCATCAACCCTTTTTTTCTTTTCTTTCTTTTACTTTTTTTAAAGAGACTTCAGCAGAATAGAGAATGAGACTATTTTGAAATTGATGGGCTGACTAGCACTTTCCCCTCATACAAAGAGGCATTCTTGACAAGATGTATACTATTTATACCTGCATTAGCAGTCAATCCATATGATTAAGTTTAGGAAGAAGAGGAGGAATAGATTGTTATTTGGTCAAAGAAGCACAGGCTTCATTAATGTACAACAATCAATGTCTTCACTGGCATGCTGGGGTTAAAATTATTTAAAAGGTTTCAACCTGGTTATTCAACCTGTCCTATTCCCTGTCTAACTCAGTGTGACAATCAAAAGAAACCTGTTTTGAAACACCATTATTTGACATTGATATTTAATTCCTATATATTTATTATCTTCAGGAAAACTACATTGCTGAATGTTTAAACCAATATGCATGAGATTTTAGATCTTCTAAAATTTCTTATCTATAGTGTTTCAATTGAGATACTCAGGGAGATAGCTTTAGGTGGTACCCACATTTCCAGGTGGTAAATTAAACAGAAGCATAGAAAAGAGAACATGGTAAAAATTCTAGGGAAAGGTAGCAATACATTAGGGCATGCGAATTGGTTATTTGAAGGCATTAAATTAACACACTTTAGCCAATCTTGTGCAGTGAAAAGTTTCTAATAAAATAAGATTAATAGTTTTAATAAAATACTAAAAAGTTCCAACAATTTTAATATTTCATATTAATCATCAGTCATTTAATAATGATACACTTCTTTTGGAACTTCAAGAAGAGATATTATGTATGGTAAGAGATATACACTTTATGAAGGAAATGTCATGAAACCAATTAGAATTAATTTATCTGAGATTTAATGCCTTTCAAAATAATAATACTTTCAATTTATATGATATCTCTCTTAAATATCAAATGATTTAAAGACTATTAGCTGGTTTATTTTGATCATATATGGAATCTATTGCAGTCAAGAACATAATTTTTTGGAAAAAAGAAAAATTATGTTCTGTTTCACGGTATCAACTGTTAGGATTTCGGTGAAAGGCTAGAATGCTGACTAGAAAGAGAATAAAATGAAAAGCATTTTGCACATGGGGGAAAAGAAAATCCCTGGATCTCTCTATTTCCCAAGCTAGTTAATTATAAGACAAATTCCTGTGGTTGAAATATATCAAAAAGAATTTTTAACCTGGGGAAAAGATTCCTAAGCTACAGAAAAGAATCATTTACACCTGCTTTTTACATTTTACTTCAATGCTAGTTCTTCCTTTCTATCATGAGTAATCTTTTAGCTTCACTCTACCTATATTAGAGACAACGAAAAGTCAATATGGATGACAGCAGTGGGATATCATTACAGATGAGTAGCCTAAAGGAGAATTTCATAAAATATATATCATAGCTAGCTTTGGTACTTTCAATAATAGAACTCATACTGGGTGCCCAGGGTTTGCAGCAATCCAAGTCTATGTTTAAATTGCCATTTTTAAATTTTTTTTCCAAATAGCTCCTGTTGACTGATTAGGTAAACGTACCTTTTATTATTTCAGTTCCAGTTATAATATGAAAGGTTGTTTTGTGTAACACTTGATACATTTTTAAATCATTGACTCACACTGAAGTGTGATTTGCTCTGGGATGGTCATCTTATGTTTTGATGTAATTGAGGTATTAACACACCCATATTCTAAAAATTATTGCCTCTTATATTTTCCTAATGAAATGAATGTCAGATATAATCATAGGAGTTTTCATAAATCCATGATTTTCCTAGATTTTTATCCATAATCTTATGCAATGGCCTCATTTTCAACTAGAAAAGACAGAAAATATAGGTCTAAAATATCTTACTAAACAGCATTTAGCTCTAATTAATTTTATAATCATGTTTATGTAGACAGTCTAGATATTACTAGGGAATTTATCATCTCTCCTCTATCTATCTGTCTATGTATCTATCTATCTATCTATGAGATAAATCACCTACAATCTCATCTCCATAAGGTAACTCTTAAACATTTTGTAAGATTTAATTTTCATTATCTTTGTTATGAATATATTACCAAATGGGTATGATAATATTGTATATGTAATTTCCAGACTTTTTTATCCAGTAAACATTAAATTATTGTTGTATCCCAAGATATTAACCACCCAAGAATCTTTTCTAGAAACAGAGTATTAATAACTTTTAAGCACCAAATACCATGTTCAACTATTTGTTGAATGTTGATGGATACCCAGTATTGTGACCAATTTTAGCACATTATTTATTGGAAACATTCTTGGACAGGGAGGATGGGAGATTCAATATGTGATATTGGCTATCCCTATCCTAATGAATCCTAAATTCCTAAATATAAATGCTAGTCCTGGCTACTATGAACAAGCACCACTACATTGGGCAAACTAAAATAGTGTAAAATTCTCTAGAATAAGTTGTACCATATATACTGAACTATGTTTTCCTACACAGCCATCCCTGTCACTTAGAATATATGCTACGTAGTACTCAGCTAACAGCTTTTCCCCTCTTCCTTCTTTTTCCCCTTAAACCATTAATTCATTTTTACCAAACAGTCATTCACTTATCTAATCATTCTTTTATACAGTTATTTAAAATTGCCTGTTGTCTGATAATTTCCAGACATTTGTCTAGGTTCTGGGGAAAAAGAGGTGAGCAGAAACGGAAAAGTTATTGATCTTGTGGATTTTACTACTTATGGTAAGGGAGAGCCACAAATAATTATGGCAAACAGCTTAGGCTGGATCAAAAGTACATGAGAACAAACCAGTTAGAAGTCTATTGAGAAAAATCAGATTGCTCAGCAATTACATGTAAGTTTCCCTGGCATAATTATTAACAATGGCCTTTTACCTCAAAATGTCTCATTTTAGATAATAGATAATATAGCCAACCTACATGTCAGCAATTTTACAAGGCAGCATCCCTCTGTCTCACTAATTTTACAAATAAAGAAAGTTAGAAGACTCCGGTTTGATGATATTCCCATGATGAAATAGTGACTTAATGGTAAAAATGCACAGCTTCATGAGGCAGGAAAAGACCCATGAGTGGCTGAGAGCTCAACAATGGACAATTGATCTTGGAAAGTAACCTAAACTCGCTAAGCTTCAGAGTCATGATCATATGAATCCTAACAGTTGTTTAAATCCTTAAAGGGTGCTATAGAAATTAAAAGAGGTAAAACTTCTTGGAACGTCTGAAAAAAGGAAGTTAAAATGTACTCAATCATACTATTCCTTCTACCAGAAGAGAAAGCGCTGTCACTCACTGGCCTTTATTGAATAAGGGAGCTCTCACAAGGTCCTTAAAAATGGATAAAACTGGAGAAGAATTTTTGGAATTTTTAGAGTACCAGTGCAAAGACTATCTGGATGGATCAAAAGGTAATTAATCAAAAGATATCATAGACAAATTCCTTTTCAAATACAGAAAGAGAACTAATGTGAGTCTAATGGTTGCCCTTCAAAGAATAATAATATGTCTTCTACATATAGGAGAGGTATAATGACTAACCCTGCTTTCAACAAAACTTTTAGCTTAAAGTTCAAAGGGAAGACTAAGCAATAGTTAATTGTAATAAAGACTTCCCAAATATCTCAGAAATGGAAATGGAAGGATAAAATAAGTTTTATAGATATGAAAACAGATAAATGGCCGTTTAAGCTGTCCAACCATTTTGATATTCTTTATGTGTGCCCAAGGCAATAATGTAATACGACGTACTGGATATGTTTAACAAAATATAAATATAAATCTGTATAAGGGCTTTGATTTTGGGAACCATCTTGTGTTGACTGAAGGATGCTCACCTATAACATTTAGTGTCACACATGCTGAGCAACTTTACAAAGGCAGGTCTTTTGCACACTCATCATGTAATATTTAATGATTTTTAAGTTTCCAATAGTATTACACATGTAAACCATGTATAATACAAATTACAAAAACAAATACAAATTACATAAAACATTTTATATTGCAAATATATATATATATATATTTATAACAAAGTCTAGTTTAAAATAGTTTGCTTAATTTAAGGTGTTTGGATGATTATCCCATAGATCATTAACCCAGGAACTTTGCCAAGTGAGCTCATTTTATTTTTCCTGAGGACTCACATGGCACTACAAATTTCCTCAAGGTAAGTAATAATGGAGAGCAATAACAGGTAGCATTAGATTCTAGGAGTACATTTCTGACAGCATTTATAACAGGCAAATATCACCTATATTATAAAACAAAGGCTCAATTTTATCTCAAAATATGATTAAATATATATTGACATTAAATTTGAAAGACTTGCTTAACAGCTCTTAAAAACTAAAGAGATTTAAATTAGGCTTTTAAATAGTAACCTCCAGAACTCTGAGAAGAACTAAATTTTAATTCATAATGATGGTGACTTGATTATGTTACAACAATGAGTAGTATATATCTGCCATATTATAAGTTTATTTTTTATTGAGAAACTGACTTTAACATTTTTATTCTATTTTACACAGTTTAGGATATTTATTGTTTTTACACACTAGAATGTATCCTATTTCTCCATATCTCTTTTAACTACACATAAATCAGAAATATACTTTAACAGATGCATGACTCATGGAGTATATGAGAAAGACTATTGTCTTGCACTTGCATGCAGACTTCAAAAAATATTACAGACCTACTTTTCTAAATATTCTGCTGCCTATACATATTTTCCTTAATATCTATTATGTTACCAAATTTGGTATCTTAAAATTGTATTGGGATAAGTTCTTGGAGTGTGAAAAGGGGATTACAATTTTTAAAATTTATTTATTTTTAATTTTTTTAGAGACGTAGTTTTTTTTAATGTTGCCAAAGCTAGAGTGCAGTAGCTATTAATATGGCTATTAATAGGTATGATCATAGCACCCTATAACCTCAAACCTCTGGGCTGAGGTGATCCTCTTGCCTCAGCCTCCAGAGTAGCTGGATCTACACGTGTATACCTCTACCAGGCCAGGCGGAAGTGAATTTTTTAAAAATTTATTTGAATTTCGTCATATAATGAAATCACTTGGCCCTTGAAGGGGGAAAGTTGTGGTGTAGTGAAGGAAAGATGTGCTATTTTTATGCTGCTTATAACTTAAAAAATATCAAACAAAATTTGAGGATGCTTCATTTAATTTACTAGGCAACCATCTGACCTTTATGATTTTAGCCCTTCAGGGCTGTGTTTCCATTATGAGTTGAACTATGTTCCCTTCAAACATGTTGTATTCCTAAACCCCAGTATCTGTGAATGTAACCTGATTTGGAAATAGGGCCTTCACATATAATCAAGTTCAAAATAGCGAAGAGCTAATAACATCTTATTAGCACATTTCTGCTGTCAGATATACAGTGTGATGCCCACAAAGGAATCTTCACAGAATTAAATAACAGTTAGACTCCATGATTCTCATAAATCCTCATTTGTTACCAGGATACTCAGCAAGATTTAGGTCAGAAAACAGCAGAAATGCATTAGGCATTCATTTTCTGCAGGAGATGTTTCAGGGCCCATGCCACTTATGTATAAGGAGATAAGATGTACATCAGGTGGGTGCAGGATCTGACATGAAGGAAATGTCTCATGCTTCAAAGAAGCTAACATCTCTTGTCACAATTCTGTACGTATAGATTCCAGAGTCATCAGAAGAGATATACCTAGGATCATCGCACTTGGGAAGCCTGAAGCTATGGCTTCTTATAGGGTATTTTTGTATCTCCTAGTCCAGATGAAATTTACCAGCAGTAGTTGTTTTCACTGTAATCATTCTTGCTTAGAAACATAGAGTAAATAACACCTTATTAGCTTACCTGGTCAACAAAGTTAGAATTAATCCAAGTTCAAATTCTCATGAGGAAGAAAACAATGTTATTAATCTATTAATTAAAACGTATAGTAACACAATATTAGTAGAATTAAGTTTCTTTCCAGTAGTGATTTGCACTTCGGAGAATGGTTGAATATGTGAAACCAGTGAGTATTATCACTGTACTCAGTTCTGCACTTCAGGTTGTAACATTGTTTCTGGCAAGGATGAAAACTCTATGTTTCTGCAGAAATCATGATCCTTATTAATAACTACTGCATTTGTTGGAATTCCTTCTCTTCAGTATTTCCCCCCTCACTAATATCACTCTTGAGTTGCTGAAGAATCTTCACTGTGGCGTACCCCCATTCCTTTTTATTCTTCTACACTCCTTGATATATTCTTTCTAATTTTCTTTATAATTATTTTGTGCTATGATCAAGGATATCAGGAATTTTCTCCTCTAGAAAATTTACAAAATAATATCTTTTCTGCTCATGGTTTAGGGACATATACTAGTAAATTAATAAAGTTGTTTCCAGATTTAGTAACATATTTGTAATCTATCATGAACCCTTCCACCATCATCAGTTTCAGGGAATGTTTTTCATAGAATATCCAGGCAACATATGCAGTTTTTAAAAGATGTTACTTTGGACACATATTCTATTACAGAGCCCTGATATTATTTAGTTGTGTTCCATTGTCCCCAAGTATGAAGTTGATTCTCTGTATTAAATGGTAACTTTTTTTCACTTGTCATTGTTAGGATGTGAAATCATTTATCTATTCTGTTGTTTGTATATTTATGAACAATATGTATTTAGTCTTTATATTTGAAAGCTAACTTTTTTGCTGTGCAAAGACGGGAAGCCACCTTGCTCTTCATGCTGTTGTTTTCTACCTTTTCTTTTGTAATTGGACTTCTTTGCTCCTGGTTCAGAAGCAGAATTTCAAACAAAGCATTCCCATGTAAACACATTCACACTTACAAAGACCCTTATCAAAAAGTAAAAGCACATTCAACTTTGATCTTTATTTTGTGGAAATATGGTTTTCTTAGATCTATAACCTCTAAGAAATTTTGTAAATCTTGTTCTTCTGAATTTTTGAAGAGTATCTGGAAAAACACACACACACGCACATATGCACACACACAGAGGCACACATATCTGCAAGTGGTATAATGCATTATATAATTGAAAATATATAGAAGACACCATAGAGCACATGTACATAAGTCTTTGAATAAAGGCAAAGTATATGATAAAGCAAAAGAAGGAGAAAGAGATGTCAGACAAGAATTAGGGGCCCAAAATACTTTCAGTAGCATTTCACTTAAGTCTGTGTTACAAACACAAGGACATGATTTGTCTCTAAATTGAATCACCAAAATTTGTATAAAGAATGTTGGTTTCAGGAAAGCTGAGTTTCACATGGAATGTTTCATGATCTTCTGATTACATAATTTAGTCAGGTTCTCTACTGATTACTAAGTTTAAGCATCAGTAAATCAACTGGCTCCGAGTGCAATAAAGGAATTTCAAACTTGAAACAGCGCATGATAAACAATTGGCTAGCCTAATATCTTTAGTTTGGCCAAATGTCAGTGCCACAATTCTAGGCAACCCTAGAGATAAACACAGGGCTGTCTGAATTTGAGTGAAATAACTCCATCCTAAATTGTATACACACACACACACACACACACACACACACACACACACACATATTTTATTATAGTCCTTTTATAAAAATTAAAACAAAATAGTAAACATTTAAACACATTCAAGATTTTATTTTTAAATATGTTAAAAATGGTAGCAGATAGCTTGTGCTATGTGAAAAATTATCTCGAGAGTTTGATATCTTAAATCAACAACCATTTATTTAGGTCTTGATTCTGCTATTTGACAATTTGGACTGGGCTCATCTGGACTGTTCTTCTGGTCTAAGAACAGTTTACTCATGTGTCTACAGTCAACTGCTGGGTTGTCTGGGTGGCAGTTGCTTTGGATGGTCTCAACTGGGATATTTCATTTCTGTTCTACATGATGTATTGGACTCATTAATATGGTACCATGGAAGGGTTCCAAGAGACAGTGGAAGTTTGCAAGACTTTTTGACATCTAGTCTCGGAACTGATACTTGCTACTTATGTCACATTTGATTGACAAAAACAAATATCAGGTCGTTTTCCACAAAAGTAGATGCTACGATGGTATACCTATTAAAAACGAACACCTATTAAAGGAAAAGAGAGGAAACAACATTGTGCAAAAGAAAAAGTTGATCAGTAATGCAGGTGCGAAAGTCTCAGACAACCTGGTAATGAGCTCTGGAGAAAGGCTAGCCTGTCCGAGTGTCCTCCATTAGGTAAAAATGAACTGGCATTTAGTTTCTTGCTCATGAACTGATTTCATGATAACCTGGAAAAGAAATGACCTTAGGTGATGTGGCTCTCTACAACTGAGGCAGACTCCAAAGCAGCTGACATTTATAGGCTCTCTACTAACTGTATACCTCACAGTTGAATAGTAAGTTCTTGCTTGAAGGGGAATGTGAGCTGAGCATTTCTGCATCTATGGTAGCAAACCAGAAAACGAGCCCAGATTCAAGGGGAGAAAAATAGGCTTGATATGTTATTGGGAAAAGCAAATGGTATCAACTGCAGCCATGTTTGGAAACTTTCACAATGCTAAAAAATACTGATCACAGTTTGTACTCAATATAAATACATATTATTGGATGAACTACTATAAAGCAATGAAATACATTTATGAAGTACATAAGTTTTATTTGATCATTTTCAACATTCATACATACATTGAAACATCAAATTTACCTCACGAATATTTCCTATTAGAATGTGCCAATTAAATAAGGAAATAAATAAATAATCAATTGACTATAAAGTAGATAGGTTTCGTGCTAAGTAGATACAGTAGTACATCTACCTACTTGTTCCTAGATAAAATTGTATGATCTCTCTGTCCTTAGGCATAATTCTTGTCAACTAGACATTCGCATCACAAATATAATTTGTGAAATGCTAAGTGGTTTCACTTTAGAATTAATGGCCTTATCATTTTCCCATCCTAGACAAGCCAAGTACTTTGATGTAATTTCACTGTCTGAAATTTAACTTGTCAGTCATCAATTATTAAAATTTGATGTAGTCTGGCCTACTGAAAAGAGAAATTTGGACAAGAGTCCAAGAGGACCGAGATGCAATCCAAGATATTTGCCTACATTTTCTTATGGTCCTTGGGCAGAATATATTTCTCATTTGTAGCCTCTTCAAATGTAAAGTAGAGACCCCCCTGTTTAAGTTCTTTGCCTTCTTTCTCCCTCATCTCTTTTGGTAGCACAAATTTTGTGACTTACTTTTTCAAAATATTTTTCCTTTGGGAAATGCCTTATGTTAAATACAGAGTTAGAGACTTCATTTATCCACTTTTCAAATTCAATATTGATTTTCACTAGAGTATCTTTCATGAGTCTGCATCTTGCTATCAGCTCCCTTCTCATTTTGCAGAGGTGAGTTATCTGATGGAAACTGCTCTATATATCAGTCTACTTCCTGTATGTTCTTCAAGTCAGCAGAAGTAATTGTGGAAGAGTAAAAGAAAACCTGACATTCTTTGTCGAAAAAGAAATCACTTGGGAAATCTATTCTTTCCATTGGGTAATTCTTGGTAAGTGGTGGCTTCTGGTGAATGACCCTGACTATGCAGCCTTAGGGGAGATGTTCCCTATTCCAAGTGATGGGTCTTAGCTGTCAGTGTGACAGTCAGCCACTTGTCACAAAAACCACTAAACTTCACACTCTGAATCTAAGTACTGAGCCACCAACATCAGTGACTATGCCCTGGACATGAAAAACACTGATAAGAGAAAGAGATTTTATAGCTATCTAGACATATTTATTGTAGCACTACCAACATCGAATGTGGTAATCATTGTGTACGATTTCAATGTGTAGGATAGTACTATTGCCAACATATGGAGAAAAAGGTATGTCACTGGATTGGAAAGGAAAACAAAACATTTTAGTAAATACTCCATCAATAAGAATGTGCTCAGAGTAAGAACTATCTGTATATAATATTTATTAATAAAATTTCTCAATGTATTAATAGTATAGAAAAGGTGCCAAAGGACAACTAATAGGGAAATTTGAGATGGAACAAAAACAATAACAACTTAGACTGATTACATTTGGGTGACTCTCTGAATTAATGTCTGATGATTCTATGATTACAAATAAAACCTATCATTAATGTTATATAGGAAACCTAGATTTAACATGTTCAGGTGGGTTCAAATATGTTTCCCAAAGTGACAATTAAAAACCATGATTATTTCTTGGCTAAATTCTTAGACTAACTCATCTGAAGGAAATTACTCTCAAGTTATACTTGAAATGCATACCATATATTTTTGCCCTAGAGTATTTATTTTCCTTCTTTGCTTCAGAAGCTATTGTTAAAATTAGATGGAGTTGAAACATGCCATATTGCCAAACAGTTTATTCAGGAATTTTTCTTTAGAAAATAAACAATACTGGAGCAAGGTATGAGCATAATGTGCAGAAATGACTGGATCACCTTTATGCGCTTTGGTTCCAATAGATACAAAAGTTCCTGTCATACTGCCTTGAGTCCTTTGTCTCAAAGTTTTTATTCTGTCTTGCTATTTTGAGCCTTCAAAAACTTACAATCTTCATTAATAAATGAAAATCATTGAAGAATATGGGTTTTTCTAGATCCTTGGGGGTCAGGTCTCTTTCATGTCTAGTCTTGAGCAAATTTCTATATTAACTATGGGAGGTGTGAAAAGCAATAAAAACAATGAGAGGAGGTTATCACCTGGCAACTTTCTTCATTGCACAACGAAATTCCACTTGGATTTCTATAATATTAATTAGTTTAGAATGGCAAGGTGAAGAAATACTGCCTCATGTTTAAGTAGGGAGTCCCTGATTTAATTGAGGCACTCTATGTATTTGCTTATTTTAAAAGATTTACTTTTTGTTATATGGTTTAAGTCATTCTATATATAACATTTTAAAACTTAGCATTTAGGGGAAATTTTATATATCAGTGGTAGGTAACTCAAGCTATCACATTTCAAAACTACTTTTGTCCCCAAATGATACAATTCTCTATTTCTGTAATCCCTTGGATACTTTACTTGGAAGTTTAAGGCATGTTTCATCAAGTAGTTGCTTAAATTTGAAATTCCTCTACTACCAGGATCAAGTATATAGTTATTTGGCAAATGTATTTTTCTAGTCCTTAAGGTAAAGAAACCGAAACTAAGCACAATATGGGAGAGACCATTAATTGCGTATATACAGAATCTTGCATTAAATCTGGGTTGTAAATTTTTTCATTCACTTTTAAAGTTAAGTCAGTTGATTTCAAGTTTGCTTTTTATTTATGTTCTTTTCTAAATAATTCAAATAAAGCAAAAGCAAGAGAAGAGCTTCATCAACACACATTGCTGTGATTTGTGAAGTCCTTCACATCAGAATTGAGCCACAGTTGACTACTCATCCCCCCTGACATTGAGTCACTGCTATTTTCTCCACCCAGCTCCAAAATAAAGTGACAGATTTTAAAGGGTGGAACAAGAAAAGCACAGGTGGTACCACCTACTGTGAATCTTTCAGTTCTTCTTAGCTCAGTAACAGCTGTTGGTCTTTTCACAGTCTGTTAAAAGCAAAACAAGGAATAGAATGTGGGCTACTGACATTGTGCAACAATACCATTTGTTTGCTTAGATTATGAAAACCAATGGCAACTTGAGAAGGAGCGTTTCCTATTCAGGCTTTGGGTAAAAAATCTTCCGGCTTGACTGTCTTCCTTGCACACAGTGCTGTTGATCTATTGATTGATTTTGGGAACATTGCAAACGATGTAACTACCATGTGTCTTAATCTCACTAATCTGAAAGTGTATATTATATATTTTGAAGAAATTTTAAGAATTAATGAGCATCTGTTTCACCCTATCTAGGTATACGGGGAGATAGGTGGAAAAAAAAAACAAACAAACTGTTTTGAGCACGGGCAATGTTGCCTCAAATGCCCCTATACAGTGAAGACGGAAATTCTCTCTCCTACCCCCACATACACGCACACACACACACACACACACACACACACACAAACCCACCAAAAATACAGACTTTCTATTCACAGAGTCTTAGTGTATACAGGAAGAGGCAAAATCCCATACCTTTAATAACTACAGGGCCTCCGAGGAAAGAATCTTAGGCACAGGGCTGACCTATGCACTGGGTGAAAATGAGTTCCAATTTGAATAAACAAAAGGAAGTGACTCATTTGGGCTTGATTCAGGCTATCTTCAAAAATCTAAGATAGTGCAGCTTGTTGGATAAAACATGCAATAAGGTACCCTCGACCATAGCGTTAAACAGGTAAAAATTTGTGTTTCCATTTGGTGGTCTACTTTGAAAAAAAATATTCTAATAAAGACATAAAGAGACAGTGGAAAGCACTCAGAAAATAGTCCCCAGGGAGCAAAATGTATAACAACAAGGCTGACAGCAATCTACCCTATCAGTCAGACGATACTGATAATCTGAAAACATATTCAAGATTAGATCAGAAAATTTGTCAGGCTGAGTCTGTGTATTGGTCATAATTGATATAAGAGAGGAGGTGGAAAAGACAAGAGTAAGTAAAAGAACTTATAGCAGGGGATCTATAACACTAAGTGTCTGTAAGAATATACTTTAGCATATTGTAGAGAAGGTAATTGCAAGTTGTCCAGTAGTTCTGGACCAGTTCCAGGAATTTTCGTTTTAATACCTCAAAGGATTTTAATGCAGAAGATAGCCCCCATACCCAAATCAAATTTTTATAAACAAGACCGATTGTCTAGAAAGAAAATAAATTAATGCCTAAAGAAACATAATAAATCATAAAAAAAAGATACATTACCCTAAGAGAGGCATGGATAATGAGTTTGGGGCCGGCATCAGGGAAGGTGTTAGGTTGTTTAAATTCATTTTGTCTTTAAGAAAGTTCATCACAGATGAAAGTAAAGAGTGAGAATTATACATAATGGAAGGTGGTAAGCAGATATGTGGGGGTCGGTCAACTCATGTTATACACACCATTAAGAACTATTCGGGGTAGTTTTTATAAATGCAGTAAGGTGTCAATATCTAAAAGATAACACTGAAATAGTAAAACTGGAAGATTGTTAGAGATCACCTTATTCAGATGTTTTACTTTGAGATAAGGAAACAAACCTAGAAAGCTTCCTCATTTCATCTTTAGATAATCACAACTATTTTGTCATGGCAACTAAATATAGCTCCTTAATTTTCAAATACTAATCCGAAACCATGAAATTCTATTTTCTGAGACATTTGAAATCCCATTGTTTTTAAATTACTTCTAATTTTTTAATCCCTAACTCAAACGATTTTTTTCCTGGTATTTTTATAATGATGTGGCACTTTATTCCATGAATTTTTTCAAAAAATTCTAATTTCTGTTCATGTTAAACATTATAAGAAAATAAACCCACAAGATTACAAATACTGTGAGTTTGAGTTTCCCCAATATCCTCTTTTTGAATATGCCCTTCTTGGGCTATGTCCTCCTTTTTATGTAATAAAGGAAGTCAAACTCCAGGGAATAAGAGGAAGCAGAATAGCCAGCTTGAAATATGCTTTACTTGGTTCTCACCAATTTATTAATGTCTGATGAAGAGAATATGAATCATGGGCAATTATGGAAGTAATGAAAGAGTGATATCACTTAACCATCTGCAACCAATCTTTAATTCACCCTGACATGATTGTCTTTAGCCACAGAATTCTTACATTGAGGATCAAAATCAAGCTCTCATTCATATTCAGACTGGACTTTAATGTCCCTTTCACTGAGTGAAAGAACAAAATAGCAATTGACAATATAATTATTTATAAATTAAAAATATAATTTCATTACAAAACAGTTATGAGAAAAATTATTAATATATAATAAATTTCATTTGCCATAAACTTATATTATCGAAATGGAAAGCATCTTATAGGAAGTATTCTCAAGTGAATTGAACAAAAAACTTAGAAGGAAACAAAAATATGGAAGAAATGAATCTGCACTCACTTGGTAAACTATTTCAGTTCCAATAATGTTCAGTTTCTTTATATATAAAATAAAGAAATAGGTCCTATTTTTTACAAGGATTTTGAGGTAATTAAATAAGAATTGTAAATCATAAAGCATTATATAATCTATGTTATCAATATTATAGTATTAAAGTATAAAGATAAAATATAGTATAATAATATTAATTTAATATTATTCCCTCTTAAAGTCATTCCAAGTATTTAATATGGGATATTTAAGTATAATTTAATATTTTATGGGTCCAAAATTAGGTTATAAAAATGGAAGGATTTTAATATTACATAGAGAGTTTTTAATTTTAATGAGAATGATTTTAAGTAAGGACTCAGATAACATGTAATCATCTTATGTTGTATTTTACAGAAACAGATCCTGCTGCAACTATTTCAGTCTCTTAACTTCAGTGAGCTAAGGTGGTTTGATCATCTTTAGGACCTGACACTGCTTGTGTTTGTTTCACGTTGCTATTAAGGAATATCTAAGGATGGGCAATTTATAAGGAAAAGAGGTTTATTCAGCTCATGGTTCTGCAGGCTGTACCAGAAGCATGGCATGAACATCTGCTTCTGGTGAGGGGCTCAGGAAGCTTCCACTCCTGGCTGAAGGGGAGGGGGAGCCAGCATGTGCAGATCACGTGACAAGAGAGAATCAAGAGACAGGGGAGGGAAGTGCCAGGTTCTTTTTAACAACCATTTGTCATAGGAACTGAGAGTGAGAATTCACTCAATCTCTCAACAATGGTACCAAGCCATTCATGAGGAATCTGCCCCATGACCTTAACACATTTCACCAGGCCCATCTCCAGCACTGGGGATCAAATTTCAACATGAGATTCGGAGAGGATAAATATCCAAACTATACCACCACCGATATGTTCAAGTGTCAACGTCAGATTAACAAAGAAAGAACAGAGATTATATACAGATCATTACACTGATTCTCATTTAATTAACATGTAATTACTATAACAAAGAAGGACTATATTATATACTATATTCTTTTTTTGCCCTGTTTGCTTTTATTATATTTAAAGGTAAAAGTTCAGCATGATTGAAATGTCCTTCTGAGTGTACATTTATGTGATTCAATTAATTCAGATATTTGGCATTTTCAGGGTTAACATGTTAATATTTTAACTGATTAAAACTGACAAAGTTTTATTAAGTCTTATTCTTTATTAGAAATAATACTTTCAGTCCATTATTTATATTTATATGATGTTGATGTACTGTTAGGATCTTTCATATGTTTATAGTCTATTTACATTGAGTTTGTTCATCATTACTTGTTCCATCTTTTTAGCTAGTGACTTTCTTTTAGTAAATCACATTGATTTCTCCTCTTTTACACATTTATATGTCTACATATATATGTAGACAAATGTATGTCAAGACCGTTGTCTAAATGATTATTTACAATGTTTGGTCTTCCATTCCTGAGTTACTTCATGTAGAATAACAGTCTCCAACTCTATCTAGGTTGTTGCAAATGAGATTATTTCATTCCTTTTTATAGCCTAGTAGTATTCCATTTATATATATATAATGAAATATATATATAAATATATATAATGTATATGATTATATATAATGTATTATATAATACAATGTATGTAATATATAATGGAATATAAATGATGTATATAATGTAAATATAAATATATATACACACACACAAACACATACATCACATTTTCTTTATTTCCTCATTGGCTGGTGGTCATTTATGCTCATTGCATATTTTTACATTGCAAATTGTGCTGCTATAAACATACGCGTGTAAGTGTCTTTTTCATATAATGATTTTTTTTCCTCTGGGTAGATACCCAGTAGTGGGATTGCTAGATCAAATGGTAGTTCTTCTTTTAGTTTAATCTCCATACTGTTTTTCATACTGATTGTACTACTTTACATTCCCACCAAGAGTGTAAAAGTATTCCCTTTTTACCACACCATGCTAACATCTATTATTTTTTGATTTTTAAATGATGGTCATTCTTACAGGAGTAAGGTGGCATTGCATTGTGGTTTTATTTTTCAGTTTCTTGATAATTACAGATGTTGAACATCTTTTCATGTGTTTGTTGGCCACATGTATGTCTTCTTTTGAGAATTGTCCATTCACGTCTTTTGCACACTTTTTGATAAGATTATTTGCTGTTGTTGTTTTTCTTGCTGATTTATTTGAGTTTCTTTGATGGGATTATTATTATTATTATCATTATTATTTTGCTGATTTGTTTCAGTTCCTTGTAGATTCTGGATATTAGTTCTTTGTTAGGTGCATGGTTTGTGAATATTTTCTTCCATTCTTTAGGTTGTCTGTTTATTCTGCTGAGTGTTTGTTTTGCTGTGCAGAAGCTTTTTAGCTTAATTAAGTCCCATCCATTTATGTTTGTTTTCATTTCATTTGCTTTTGGGTTCTTGATAATAAACTCTTTGTGTAAGCCAATGTCTAGAAGAGTTTTTCTGATGTTATCTTCTAGAATTTGTGTGGTTTCAGGTTCTAGATTTAAGTCTTTGATTCATCTTGAGTTGATATTTGTATGAGGTGAGAGGTAAGGATCCAGCTTCATTCTTCTACATGTGACTTGGAGCTAGGTTATGACAATGCAAAGCCATAAGAAACATGTAATGGACTCTGGAGACTTTGGGGGAAGGGTGGGAGGCGGGTGAGGAATAAAAGACTGCACAGAGGGTGTAGTGTACATATCTTAGGTGATGGGTTCACCAAAATCTCAGAAATAACACTTAAATAATTTATCCATGTTACCAAACACCACAAATTCTTCAAGAACTATTGAAATAATAATAAATAAATTAAAGATTACTTTGTTTATAGGTGTTTAATTAAAAGTACCAGATAAGAAAGAGCCTCTCCTTTCAAACATACCCACATTCATTGAAAAAAATACATAAGGTAATATTTTCCCTCTCATCTCTGTTTCCTAAGCGTAATCAAAACTAATTAGTTATTCAACAGCAAGTATATTAGGAGGCCAAACAAAGGTCAGAAACACCTTTGTTTAATTGCCACCATTGCATAGTACAGAGATTTGGTTGACGGTGGCTCCAGAAAAGTTTAAAATTCTGCATTTCTATCAATGGTTTTACTTACACTGTCAATTTGCTTTTTGATCAATTTTCCTATAATTAACTACCATTTTTAACTATGATTCTTAATTATTGACTATTTTGCAGGCTTTATTTTTCTTTAATGAATTATAGTTTATTACTGTGCTTACTAAATTGCACTATTTTTTCCAATTCATTTATTTCCCATATAATAAATATTATAGTATTTTTCTGGCATTTACTGATGACTAGCATTACTCATTTTGATTAACAAATTAATTATAATTTACTTTTACTTTTTAAAAAATCATTAACTATTTTATCTATTTAGATTTTATGTCAGCGAATTTTTGTGTCATCATGTTACTTTCTTACTTTCAATATAATAACTTCCAATCATTGCTTTGAATTTGATTCTTGCACTAATTTTAATTGCTGTTTATGTTCATATCTAAGTTAACTCAAGTTGCTGTTAAAAAAGTCATACAATCATTATGCTAAAATTTTGATATTATAAAAAACCTTATGTATCATTATTTATAGCTCTTAATTAGCACCTAATTAATAAACCAATTTACTTTTACCTTTTATTTCTCCCTATGACCCAATTTTTCCATAATCTGTTATAATTTATTTTTACCTTTATGCTGTGATAAATGACTGAGTAACAAAAAACAAAACACCCACGTAACGCATATGTATAACATAACAAATTATTACAAGGCATAATCCTAGTGTTTTGGTAACTTTTTTAATACCTAGAATAAGAAGTTTTAGCCCATCTTGGGTATTTCCTGCCACAACTTGCAAAGAGCTGTTTTTCCAGTAAGTCCTACTCTCTGTAGTAGGCAGTGGTGTTTCAAGGCTGTAACCTGAATGGTATGGATGCTCATTAGTAATGGGCTACTCATCGATTTCAGTTCCTTTTTTATTTTGAGGGGGGACAGAGTCTCACTCTGTTACCCAGACTGAAGTGCAGTGGTGCGATCTCAGCTCACTGCAAACTCTGCCTCCCGGATTCAAGCGATTCTCCTGCCTCAACCTCCTGAGTAGCTGGGATTATAGGTGCGCCCCATGATGCCTGGCTAATTGTGGCATTTTTAGTAGACACGGAGATTCACTATGTTGGCCAGTCTGGTCTCAAACTCCTGACCTCGTGATCTGCCCACCTCGGCCTCTCAAAATTTCAGTTATTTGCTAAGGACAGAGTTAGGATGTGTGTGAGAGAAAGAAAGAAAGAGAGAATGCGGGAGAGAGAGAGAGAGATCTTTATTTTCTTCTTTTTCTATGCAATAAGCCTGGTTCTCACTAACACAGGAAGAACTCAAAATCCTGTAACTATGTATTTGTTTTATCCACATTAAGCACACAACATCTCAGTTGAACAATACTAATGCTATGATGAGCAATATGCTTAAAATAGTTATAATATTTTTGGTTATAATATCTATTGGTTATAATATCTATTCTCTACACAATTTAAAAAATAGTTAAAATCTAGAAGAAATGGATAAATTCCTCGACACATGCATGCTCCCAAGACTAAACCAGGAAGAAGTTGAATCTCTGAATAGACCAATAACAGGCTCTGAAATTGAGGCAATAATTAATAGCCTAACAACCAAAAAAAGTCCAGGACCAGATGGATTCACAGCCAAATTCTACCAGAGGTACAAGGAGGAGCTGGTACCATTCCTTCTGAAACTATTCCAATCAATAGAAAAAGAGGGAATCCTCCCTAACTCATTTTATGAGGCCAGCATCATCCTGATACCAAAGCCTGGCAGAGACACAACCAAAAAAGAGAATTTTAGACCAATATCCCTGATGAACATTGACGCAAAAATCCTCAATAAAATACTGGCAAACAGAATCCAGCAACACATCAAAAAGCTTATTCACCATGATCAAGTGGGCTTCATCCCTGGGATGCAAGGCTGGTTTAACATACGAAAATCAATAAACGTAATCCAGCATATAAGCAGAACCAAAGACAAAAAACACATGATTATCTCAACAGATGCAGAAAAGACATTTGACAAAATTCTAGAACACTTCATGCTAAAAACTCTCAATAAATTAGGTATTGATGGGATGTATCTCAAAATAATAACAGCTATCTATGACAAACCCACAGCCAATATCATACTGAATGGACAAAAACTGGAAGCATTCCCTTTGAAAACTGGCACAAGACAGGGACGCCCTCTCTCACCACTCCTATTCAACGTAGTGTTGGAAGTTCTGGCCAGGGCAATCAGGCAGGAGAAGGGAATAAAGGGCATTCAATTAGGAAAAGAGGAAGTCAGATTGTCCCTGTTTGCAGATGACATGATTGTATATCTAGAAAACCCCATCGTCTCAGCCCAAAATCTCCTTAAGCTGATAAGAAACTTCAGCAAAGTCTCAGGATACAAAATCAATGTGCAAAAATCACAAGCATTCTTATACACCAATAACAGAAAAACAGAAAGCCAAATCATGAGTGAACTCCCATTCACAATTGCTTCAAAGAGAATAAAATACCTAGGAATCCAACTTACAAGGGATGTGAAGGACCTCTTCAAGGAGAACTACAAACCACTGCTCAATGAAATAAAAGAGAATACAAACAAATGGAAGAACATTCCATGCTTATGGGTAGGAAGAATCAATATCGTGAAAATGGCCATACTGCCCAAGGTAATTTGTAGATTCAATGCCATCCCCATCAAGCTACAAATGACTTTCTTCACAGAATTGGAAAAATCTACTTTAAAGTTCATATGGAACCAAAAAAGAGCCTGCACCACCAAGTCAATCCTAAGCCAAAAGAACAAAGCTGGAGGCATCATGCTACCTGACTTCAAACTATACTACAAGGCTACAGTAACCAAAACAGCATAGTACTGGTACCAAAACAGAGATATAGACAAATGGAACAGAACAGAGCCCTCAGAAATAATGCCGCATATCTACAACTATCTGATCTTTGACAAACCTGAGAAAAACAAGCAATGGGGAAAGGATTCCCTATTTAATAAATGGTGCTGGGAAAACTGGCTAGCCATATGTAGAAAGCTGAAACTGGATCCCTTCCTTATACCTTATACAAAAATTAATTCAAGATGGATTAAAGACTTACATGTTAGACCTAAAACCATAAAAACCGTAGAAGAAAACCTAAGCAATACCATTCAGGATATAGGCATGTGCAAGGACTTTCATGTCTAAAACACCAAAAGCAATGGCAACAAAAGCCAAAATTGACAAATGGGATCTAATTAAACTAAAGAGCTTCTGCACAGCAAAAGAAACCACCATCAGACTGAACAGGCAACCTACAGAATGGGAGAAAATGTTTGCAACCTACTCATCTGACAAAGGGCTCATATCCAGATCTACAATGAACTCAAACAAATTTACAAGAAAAAAACAAACAACCCCATCAAAAAGTGGGCAAAGGATATGAACAGACACTTCTCAAAAGAAGACATTTATGCAGCCAAAAAACACATGAAAAAATGCTCATCATCACTGGCCATCAGAGAAATGCAAATCAAAACCACAATCAGATACCATCTCACACCAGTTAGAATGGCAATCATTAAAAAGTCAGGAAACAGCAGGTGCTGGAGAGGATGTGGAGAAATAGGAACACTTTGACACTGTTGGTGGGACTGTCAACTAGTTCAACCATTGTGGAAGTTGGTGTGGCAATTCCTCAGGGATCTAGAACTAGAAATACCATTTGACCCAGCCATCCCATTACTGGGTATATACCCAAAGGATTATAAATCATGCTGCTATAAAGACACGTGCACACATATGTTTTTTGCGGCACTACTCACAATAGCAAAGACTTGGAACCAACCCAAATGTCCAACAATGATAGACTATATTAAGAAAATGTGGCACATATACACCATGGAATACTATGCAGCCATAAAAAATGATGAGTTCATGTCCTTTGTGGGAACATGGATGAACCTGGAAACTATCATTCTCAGCAAACTATCTCAAGGACAAAAAACCAAACACTGCATGTTCTCACTCATAGGTGGGAATTGAACAATGAGAACACATGGACACAGGAAGGGGAACATCACACACCGGAGACTGTTGTGGGGTGGGTGGAGGTGGGAGAGAGAGCTTTAGGAGATATACCTAATGCTAAATGACGAGTTAATGGGTGCAGCACACCAACATGGCACATGTATACGTATGTAACAAACCTGCACGTTGTGCACATGTACCCTGAAACTTAAAGTATAATAACAATGATAATAAAAAAAAAGTTTTTCATACTTCATTGTCTGAACATACGCTTATTACACACTATATACCACTATATACTTTTAACCTTCCTTTTTTCTAAATTTACTGGTAAACATATGTTTAATGCCCACTACTTGTTCTTATGTCAATGTTTCTCTGGTCATTTTGACTTTTTGAAATTTGTTCTTAAGTATATTCTTCAGGAAGTTTTGATAAGAGCAGTAATATTTGAATTATTCTATATTTATGCTGATAGCAGTCTGTCAGTGACTTTTATACTTAAAAATATATCTCTATTTCTTGCCTCATATTTTCTTGACTATCTTGAATGCTTTTACCATTTTATTCTTACATGCCAAACATTTTTGTTAAAATATAAAAAAAAGGAAAATGATTACTCTAAAAGTAAAAAGAAAATTTGTGATGGTAGTCACAATTTTTTCCTCTTGAAAGTCTCTGTTTTTCCAAATACCCAAATAATTACTCTTTTTTACAATTTAATATATTTACTAGAACATTTCTTGGTTTTTGTAAGTTTTCTTCAATATTCTTAGGTATACAATGTGCTTTTTCACTGTATTTTAAAGCTTATAGTATATAATTTTAACATAATTTTTCTCTTTCATGAAAGTTGATTTATGTGTAGCTTTTGAGTAGTTCTGCACTCTTGCTATTGCTTTTTCTTGATTGAAATACAACTATATTGGATCTCATCTGACTCTCTTAATATTTGTGCCCTTTTTGCATCCATTTTATTTGTTTGTTATTTTCATGTCCTTTTTTTGTTGTTCATTTGTTTGTTTGTTTTTGAGACGGAGTCTCGCTCTGTTGCCCAGGATGAAGTGCAGTGGCGCGATCTCGGCTCACTGCAAGCTCTGCCTCCTGGGTTCACACCATTCTGCTGCCTCAGCCTCCCGAGTAGCTGGGACTACAGGCGCCCGCCACAATGCCCGGCTAATTTTTTGTATTTTTAGTAGAGACGGGGTTTCACCATGTTAGCCAGGATGGTCTCGATCTCCTGACCTTGTGGTTCACCCACCTCGGCCTCCCAAAGTGCTGGGATTACAGGCGAGAGCCGCCGTGCCTGGCCTATTTTCATTTTCAATATATATTTTTAATTATGAAATAATTTCAAACATGGGAAAATAACAAGTAAAATACCGTTAACATTTTTTTCCTGACATTTGGAGATAATTAATTAATGTGGTGCTTGTCATCACCATATGATTTATTTTATAGTTCCTATACAAAAGGACTTTCTACAACACAATCATAGTAACTATCAAAATCAGGAAATTAATGTAGATACATTATTACCATCTACTCCTCAGACATATTCAGTTGTTGCCAGTTATCTCTGTCTAGGCTTTCTCGGGTTTTACCTTATTTGTAAGCTAACAAGTTAACATATCACATGTTTGTTTCAAATTCTTTGCTCCTCAGTTCCCATGGAGGTGATATGGTGTGGTTTAGGTGAATGCAACACAAACAAAGTACAATCTGTACTGCAGATTAAAAAACCTGAACCTGGCCGGGCGCGGTGGCTCATGCCTGTAATCCCAGCCCTTTGGGAGGCCTAGGCGGGTGGATCACGAGGTCAAGAGTTTGAGACCATCCAGGCTAACACGGTGAAACCCCGTCTCTACTAAAAATACAAACATTAGCTAGGCGAGGTGGCAGGTGCCTTTAGTCCTAGCTACTTGGGAGGCTGAGGAAGGGGAATCGTTTGAAACCAGAAGGCGGAGGTTGCAGTAAGCTGAGATACTGCGGCTGCATTCCAGCCTGGGCAACAAGAGCGAAACTCCCATCTCAAAGAAAAAATAAATAAATAAAATCATATCTACCAAGCCTTTTGTTATACAACCATCCTTGAAAACATATGGCAGAACAAATTCTGTCAGTACCTCTGTGAATGGGATGTGCAAAAATGTAAAAGACTCATGGAAAATTGTCTTGCCTACATCCCAAAAATGTCTATTTGTCATGTCTGTTTCGTTTATTTCAGTGGGCAAGATTTTTTAAGTTATTCTGTGACTTTTGTAATCTTGACATGTTTGAAGATTACAGGTCTGTTATTTTATAAAATGTCTATCAATTTAAATGACCTTATATATTTTTTCACACATGAACTCAATTTATGAATTTTTGGTAAAAATATCATACAAGTAGTCCTGTATTTTTTATGTGTCTTATTCAATTTATCCCATCACTGGTAAAGCTACATTGTATCACTTTATATAAAGTGATATCTGCCAGATTTCTTTATTAAAAATCACTACATTTCCCATTTAATAAGTGTTTAATGGTGAGATACATTGTAAATATCTTGTTCCTTATCAAACACTTACCATGTATTTTGTTATCTATTGGAGCTTCTTGCATTCATTATTACTTTGATAGTTAACAAATGGTGATTTAAAAATTTCACTCTTTCTTGTTTATGTATTTATTGCCATTCTGGTTTAGAGCTTTTTCATTTATATATTGTTTTATTTTATTACATAGCTATGGATTCATGAATTTCTATTTCATTTAATGAATTGCAATCCATGTCTATTATTTTGTATTTTAATTATCAAAATTTCCAATTTTAATTTGATAATTAAAAGTGTCACTGGGAACTACCTCAAGCTAGTTTCAGTGTCTTTTGACATTTTTATACTTGTGGGATTTATAGTCTGGGCACTAGGTGGGCTATTTTTATTGTTACTATTCACAGGCTGGTCACAGTAGACGTATGTACAAATATCACTAGCATTCCTACACATCAACAACAGTCAAGCTCAGAGCCAAACCAGAAAGGCAATCTCATTTACAATTGTCACAAAAAGAATAAAATGCCTAGGAATACAGCTAACCAAGGAAGTGAAAGATCTCTACAATGAAAATTACAAAACACTATTTAAAGAAATCAGAGAAGACACAAACAAGTGGAAAAAAAATCTCATGCTCATGGATAACAAGAGTCAATATCATTAAAATGGCCATACTGCTCAAAGCAATTTTATAGCTTCAATGCTATTCCTATCAAACTACCAATGACATACTTCACAGAACTAAAAAAAAATAAAATAAAAAAATAAAAATTCATATGGAACATAAAAAAAGCCTGAATTTGCAATTGTAAGCACAAAGAACAAAGCTGGAGGCATTACATTACCCAACTTCAAACTACACTGCAGGGCTACAGTAACCAAAACAGCATGGTACTAGTACAAAAACAGGCACATAGAACAATGGAACAAAATAGAGAGCCCAGAAATAAGATCACAAACCTACAACCACCTGATCTTCTACAATGCCTACAGAAAGAAGCAATGGGTAAAAGACTTCCTATTCAATAAATGGTGTTGGGATAACTGGCTAGCCATATGCAGAAGACCAAAGCTGGATCTTTTCTTATACCATATACAGAAACCAACTCAAGAAGGATTAAAGACCTAAATGTAAAATGCAAAACTATAAAATCTCTGGAAGACAACCTAGTCAATACCATCTGAAACATGGGAATGGGCAAAAGTTTCATGACAAAGACAGTTGAAGCAATCACAATGAAAGTAAAAATTGATAAATGAGATCTAACTAAACTTAAGAGCTTCTGCACAGCAAGAGAAGCTCTCAGCAGAGTGAACAGACAGCCTACAAAATGCAAGAAAAAATTTGCAAACTATTCATCTGAGAAAGGTCTAATATCCAGCATCTATAAGGAACTTAAACAAATGTACAAGAGAAAAAGAACCCATTAAAAAGTGGGCAAAGGACATGAACACTTTTCAAAAGAAGACATACATGTGGCCAAGAAGCATATGAACAAAAGACTCAATATCACTGATCATTGGAGAAATACAAGTCAAAACTACAATGAGATACCATCTCACACCAGTCAGAATGGCTATTACTAAAAAGTCAAAAAAAAAAAAAAAACAGATGATGGTGAGGTTACTGACAAAAGGGAACACTTATACCCTGATGGTGGGAGTGTAAATTAGTTTAACTATTCTGGAAAGCAGTATAGCAATTCCTCAAAGAGCTATAAGCGGAACTACAATTCAACGCAGCAATCCATTACTGGGTATATACCCAGAGAAACATAAATCTTTCTACCATAAAGACACTTACAGGCGAATGTTCACTGAAACACTATTCATAGTAGAAAAGACATGGAATCAACCTAAATGCCCATCAATGACAGATTGCATAAAGCAAATATGATCCATATACACGATGGGACACTATGCAGTCATACAAAATGAATGAGATCATGTGTTTTGTGAGAACATGGATGGAGCTGGAGGCTATTATCCTCAGCAAACTAATGCTGGAATAGAAAACCAAATATGGTATGTTCTCACTTATAAGTGGGAGGTGAATGATGAGAACTTATGAACACAAAGAAGGAAACAAGAGACATTGGGGTCTTGTTGAGGGTGGAGGTGGGAGGAGGGAGAGGAGCAGAAAAGTTAACTGTTGGGTACTGGGCTTAATTCCTGGGTGATGAAATAATCTGTACAACAAATCCCATGACACGAGTTTACATATTCAATAAACCTAAACATATATCTCCGAACCTAAAATAAAAGTTAAGAAAAAGAATGGCTATACTGTCAAAAGCAATTTATAGATTCAATGTTATCCCTATTAAACTACCAATGCCACATTTTGTCACAGAATTAGAAAATACAACTTTCTAAAACTCATATGAAAACGGTCTAAATTCATATGGAAACAAAAAAATATCCTGAATATCCAATGCCATACTTAGCAAAAAGAACAGAGCTGAAGCATTCCCAAATTAAAACTATACTACAAGTTTACAGTAACCAAAACAACATAGTACTGGTACATAAACAGAGACATAGAGGAATGAGACAGTATAGAGAACCCAGATAATAATACTACACACCTGCGACCATTTAATCTTTGTCAAAGTCAACAAAAACAAGCAATGAGGAAAAGACGTCCTATTTAATAAATGGTGCTGGGAAAACTGGCTAGCCACATGCAGGAGATTGAAACTGGGTGTCTTCCTTACACCATATACAAAAAATGACTCAAGATGGACTAAAGACTTAAATGTAAAACCCAAAACTATAAAAATTCTGGAATATAAATTAGGAAATACCATTCTGGCCACAGCCTCTGGCAAAGATTTCATGAAGAAGTTGCCAAAAGCAATTGCCACAAAAGCAAATATTGACATATGGGATCTTATCAAACTAAAGAGTTTCTGTACAGTAAAAGAAACTATCAACAGATTTAACAGAGGACTTACAGAATGGGAGGAAATATTTGCAAACTAAGCATTTGACAAAATTATAATATCCAGAATCTATAAGGAATGGATTCAGAAGCAGAAGACGACCCCATTAAAAAGTAGGCAAAGGACATGAACAGAAAACTTTTCAAAAGACATACATGCAGCCAACAAGCATATGAGAAAATGTTTTATATCACAGGTCATTAGAGAAATGCAAATCAAAACCACAGTGAGATACTATTTCACACCAGGCAGAATGGCTATTATTAAAAAGTCAAAAGAAAAAAAAAAAACAGATACTGGCAAGGTTGTGGAGAAAGGAGAAAGTTTGTACATTGTTGGTGGGAGTATAAATTAATCATTGTGAAAGGAGGGTGGTGATTTTTCAAAGAACTTAAAACAGAATTACCATTTGATCCAGAAATCCCATTACTGGGTATATACTCAAAGGAATATAAAACATTCTGCCATAAAGACACATGTACATGTATGTTCATCGCAGAAATATCCACAACAACAAAGACATGGACTCAATCTAAATCCCCATCAGTTGTAGACTGGATAAAGAAAATGTAGTAGATATGTGCCATGGAATACTATGCAGCCTTAGAAAGAATGAGATCATGTTCTTTGCAGCAACGTGAATGAAGCTGGAGGTCATTATCCTAAGTGAACTAATACATGAACAGAAAACCAAAAATAGTACGTTCTCCCTTACAAGCAGAGCTAAACATTCAGAACACATGGATGCAAAGCAGGGAACAACAGATATTGGGGTCCACTTGAGAGTGGAAGGTGGGAGGAAGGAGCATTGGGTACTGGGCTTATTAGTTTGTGATGAAATAATCTGGACATCCAAACCCCCATGACACACAATTTACCTATAACAAACCTGCATATGTTCCTGTGAACATAAAATATGAGTTAAAAAAAGTAAACATTAAAATTAAAAATATTTTGTAGTGTAATAGAGAATCCTTCCCAACCAGTAGTTTTGCAAATGTTGCCTGTAAACATTCAGGTCTCCTGTCTCATTATATTTATATACTTTCTTGTGTCATGTGGGGAAATTAAAAGATATGTCATTTATAAATCATGTTTGTCCATTGTTTGACTAATATGCAATAAAGATGTATGAATAGAGAAAATCTATATACATTTACAAAAAGCATTATGTTGCACATAAAATTTTGAAACCTGCTTATGAATGTTTTTCATGTCAAAATGTAATTTTAATGAACAGATATGATAACCTGGAATTAATTTTAGGTATAATGTCCACTAAGATTCTTTCTTTATTATTTTGTAGGGGTTTAAAATTTCACATAAACTTGATGGTAACAAGCTGTATGGTACATGTTTAAGGATAAATAAATATGAATATATGTACCAGAATGGAATATATTATTATGATGTCTTTTACATAGGTTGAGAGTAGAAACTCTTTCCTGAAAAATTGATTTTTGTTTGTGACTTTCAATAAACTTTATTTTAGAGGGTATATGAATGGGTCCAATCAAAAATAATTCTCTTATCCACAAAGCTTAGAGTAGTTGTTGTTGGCTTACACAAATTTTGTGTGCTTTCTAACATACTCTTAGTTTTAAGTTCCCCTATTCAAGCAGGCATGTTACAAAGTCTAGTGGGTAAACTCATGTTCTATTACATGTACACAGATTATAATTAAGTTTCCTCAAAGCAATCAGAAGTCTATCCATGAATAGAGCTCGGTAAATAGTCAGTAAATATTAATATAAAAGCCAATATTCTTGATGCCAACGACATAACAGTTACCCAAACAGAATAAAATTGCTGTCCACAGAGTGTTTATATTATTTTTGCAATAAAATATGTAAATTTTTGCATGCTAGAATGTGGTAAATATTTTAGAGACACATTTAGAAGGTAAAGTTTGAAAGTCGAGGTTGTTATAATTTTAAATAGAACAGATAGAAAAGACTTAACTGAGAAGGTGACTTTGGAGCACAGATTTAAAGAAGGTGAACAGTTAAGTCATTAAACTATTTTGAGGAATGAGTGTCTGTGATCAGTAGAGGCAAAAGCTCATGAGCATGTTTAGCATGCTCAAGGTGCAGGAAAGAAGGCAAAAGGAGATAAATGTAATTCAAAGGCAGGAGAACAGATGAGGTCACAGACAAAATTGTGGGGAGTGAGGGAGGTAGCAGTTCATAAAGGGCCATTCAATGTATTGTAAAGTTTAGATCTTACTCTGAGTGAGGTGACAAATCATTCAAAGGTTTAGAGTGAAAAGCTGATATGATCTGTTTTTAATTTTAAAAAGATCATTTCCACTGTTGTTTTGATCATATAATTGAAGAAAAGATGTGAGGGGCCAGGACTGTAATTATGGAGTCCAATTAACTAGATAGAGGGATAATCCAGACAAGAGATAATGATGTCTTGGACTATGGTGGTCTCAATAAAGTTTATAAGAAGGAACCACGCTCTTAATATATTTTATTTTATTTTTATTATACTTTAAGTTTTAGGGTACATGTGCACAATGTGCAGCTTAGTTACATATGTATATATGGAATACTATGCATCCATAAAAAATGATGAGTTCATGTCCTTTGTAGGGACATGGATGAAGCTGGAAACCATCATTCTCAGCAAACTGTCACAAGGACAAAAAAACCAAACACCGTATGTTCTCATTCATAGGTGGGAATTGAACAATGAGAACACATGGACACAGGAAGGGGAACATCACACACCAGGGCCTATTGTGGGGTGGGGGAAGGGGGAGGGATATCATTTGGAGACATATATTTTAAAGGTAGAACCATCAAAGTTTGTTGATGAACTGGATATAGTGGTCAGCTAAATTAATGTCATGGGTGTTTAATATATGCAGTTGCATATGGCTCCACATTAATAAGGATCCTATACTTGATTTCATGCTTTGTTTTTCCATCTTTAAATTTATGAAAATTTTAACTTCTGACTTGTATCTTCCATTATTTGTTGGAACAATGGATCATGTCCATGATCAGAGGAGATAAGCACAATATGCCTGCCTACCTTCATTTCTTTCTACTTCATTCACAGAAAGTTGTCAAGATTAGCCATACGCACATAATTCCCGTAGTTGTACTATGTGTGGAAGTTCAATGATACTCAGAGACACTGGCTTCCATATCACACTACCCTTGTACTCTCTTTGAGTCTTGCTGAATTCCAAAAAATAATGGGTGCACTGGAATGTGTGCTCGTATTCCATATCGACATGTCAATAATTGACTAAATGAGGACACTGAAAGCCCTGTGAGGTTATGCTTTCCTTTCCAATAAAAACTTGCTTTGAACGCAGAAGCAGTGGTATTCCAAGAAACAAAACTAACAAGGAATTATATTATATCCCTTCTTACTCATGTCACTTTCCTCTATTAGCCAACTATGTATGCTGATAATCATGAGATAGGAAGAATGGGAAAGATGGGACATCCGCATTTCCTCTCCATTTAGTCCTTCCTTACTCCTCAGTGAACTGAAGACAGAATTAGTAAAATATGTTGTAGAGCAAGAAGTAATTAAAAAGAGATGAGTTGTTTTGTGTAGTGTTTCTTCTATTCTAATAAAAACAAATTAACAATAGCAAAATAAATAGCATGAGATTATTATGATGGGTTTAATCCTGGAGGAAAGTAAAATTTTGGAGATTCAGTGGGAAAAAATTGTGCTTATGTGATGGTTTTTGTTGGTCAAAAATAAATATAATCTACTTCACAAAGTGGTAGATTTAGCCTTTGAAAGGAGAATAAATATGATAAGACTACAAAATTACATAAAAATGGGATTACAAGATAAAAATAAAAATAATAAACTTTATTTCACAACATAACCTCCATCAAGGTCAGCACACTTTTGTAAGCAGTGATATGAATATTATTCATATCAAAATCATATTATTCATGTCAGGTAACATGAGTAAGAAAGGATATATTAGAATTCCTTGTTTTGTTTCTTAAAACACCACTGCTTCTGCAGCCATTTAGTCCATCCCTAAAGAACTGAGGGTCCTGGGAACTTAACCATGTCAATGCATTCTTTTTTACATTATTAACATTAAAAAAAGATATCTTTAATTTTTTTTAAGACTAGGAAACAAAAAGAAGTTAATATAAACCAAATCATGACTATAAGATAGATAGATGCATGTTGATTTCCCATAAAAATTCTCACAAAATTGTGCTTGTTTGATGAGAGGAATGAGCAGGAACGTTGTCATGATGGAGAAGGAGTCTCTAGTGAAGGTTTCCAGGACATTTTTCTGATAAAGCTTTGGCCAACTTACTCAAAACATACTCTAATAAAGAAGATATTATCATTCTTATGGCCATCCAGAAAGTCAACAATCAAAATTCCTTGAGCATCCTAAAAAAACTTTTGCCATGACTTATGCCTTTTGCAGATCTGCTTTTGCTTTGACTGAAACACTTCCACCTCCTGGTAGCCATTGCTTTGATTGTGCTTTGTCTTCAGGAACGTACTGGTAAAGCCATGTTTCATCTCTTGTTACATTTCTTTAGAGAAATGCTTCAGGATGTTGATCCAATTTTTAAAATTTTCCCCTGATAGTTCTTACTGTGTCTGCAGCTCATGTGGCATAAGAGTTTTGGCACCTATCAAGTGGAAAATGTGCTCAGCTATAGTTTTTCAGTCAGAATTACGTAAACTGAATTGAGACGTCTATGATGTTGGCTATTTTTTCTGCTGCTAATAGTTGGTCCTTTTCAATTAGGAAATGAACAAGATGAATTTTTTTTTCTCACAAATTGATGTGAATGGTCTGCTGCCACAGGCTTCAACCTCAATATTCTTTGTCCCTTCTTAAAATGAGCCTTTCATTTGTAAACTAATTATTTCTTTAAGGTATTTTCACCTGAAACATTTTATAAGGCATCATTGATTTCACCACTTTTCCACCCAAGCTTCGTCATAAATTTGATGTTTGTTCTTGCTTCAATTTTAGCAGAATTCATATTGCTCTGATAGGGGGTCTGTTCAAACTGCTATCTTACCCTTCTTAATGCCTCAACCTAGACCCTATTCAGACATGTTATAACAACTTAGTATGAGTTTATCTTGGTGTAAAACATTTAGAACCCTTGCATTGCTTTTTCATAATACACGTTTTCCATGAGCTTTTTGAAGCCCTCTCATTGTTCATCGCTAGCAACGGGAAAGCAAAGATACATGTATAGAGCTTGGTAGATATGCTCACACGAAAATAGTTTGTAGAAGTTATCCTCTGATTAATTATTTTCTCAGTTAAAAAGTTAGCAAGTTCAATTTTCACAAATGGGAATAAGAGAAAGGAGAGGAATGGGAAGGAGAGGAGTAGGAAGATTTCAGTCTTATGGGCACCTTATCAGAAAAGTCTTTTCTGAGTCCTTAGAATATTTTTACAATATTAGCACCATCTTCATCTTGTTATAACTTTAAAATTTATTTGTATATTTCATTTTGCAAATGATTCAAGTCTATTTCTCCTAGTAGGTTGTAAGCCTTGTGAGAGTAGAGATCATGACATCTTACCAATTGCTGTGCCTAGCACAGTGTTTTGAATATATTAGACAATAAATACACAACTACTGAATCAAATAATTTGTGAATGTGTGTTTCTGTTTGAAATCTTAATTTTTAAGCCACTTTATTGAGGTGTGTAAGAGCTGTACATATTTAATTTATACAACTTGATGAGTTTGGAGATAATTATACACCCAACAAATCACCATAATCAATGTCATAAGCAAGTCCATCACTTCCATAAGTTTCCTTCTGCCCTCTTTATTATTATTGTTATAATTATTATTTATATGGTAAGAACACAAGATCTAAAAACTGTTTCAATGTGTGAGTAAAATAGTAAATGAATTATAAGGGATAATTGACTTCAGCTTTGAAATTCAGACTGGTTATGATGTCCAATTCTTTCCACAGAATTTTGTAAAGTTTATGCATTCGCATAATCATGTTTAGATTTTTGTTTCTCAAAAAATGAACAGCAATTCTGAGGTCTCAAGTCCCAGAAGTATTTTGTTTCTTTCACTTTATTCCAACACAGACTAATCATTAACTTAGTGGCCACACTCCCATTAGAATTTTCTTGTAGGTCATTTATCTTGTAAGGTATAGTCTCCTGACTAATTGTTGACCCAATATCTCACCCCCTTTTTTGACTGGTCTGTTAGAATCCAGCTTCAAATTCCAAACCTTGCTTGTCTTTGTTTTCTTATAATATTTTCTCAAGAGGTTTTGCAAACGCAAACATGCTGTTTTACACACCTAATAAATGTTGTAACACTTAGAGTCTGTAGGTGAGGTTTATCTATTTGTTTCATCATATTGTATGTCATATCAATATCAAACTATATCAAACAATATCAGTTTATCATATTCCCCTTTATCTTTAAAAAACAAACTTAAATATATTTTGTAACAATACATACACATTTAATGAATACAACTTGATGAGTTGGGAAATAAGAATATATCCATGAAACTATCACCAAAATTTATGCCAGAAAATTTTGTATCTCCAAGGAATTTCTCCTACCCTCTTTATTTTTGGTGATAACAATATGTAATATAAGATTTATTTTCTTAACAAAGTTTAAAAATGTACAATACAAATTTTTAAGCCGTATTCACATTGTTGTACATTAATTCACCAGGCATTATTCATCTTATATAACTGAAATTGTGTATCCCTGGGCCAACATTTCTACATTTTGACATTTCTCCCTTCCTCCAAGCCCCACAACCATGGTTCCATTCTCAGCGCCTGCGAGTTGGACTATTTTATATTCCACATATAAGTCAGATAATACATTATTTGTCTTGCTGTGTCTGGCTTATTTCATTTAGTATGATGTCTAAGCAGGTTTATTCATGTTGTTGCAAATGTCAGGATTTCCTTTTTTTTCTTTATCCATTCTTTGATAAATATTTGGTTTATTTGTGTATTTTAGTTATTCTGACTAATGCTGCACCAAATGTGGGATCTGAGATCGCGATTTCATTTCCTTTGCATATGTACTAAGTATTGACATTGCTGTTTCACTTAGTAGTTATATTTTTTATTTTTTTGAGGAATCCCCATACTGCTTTCTATAATGGTTGCACCAGTTTACATCCCAACCAATGGTGCACAGATAAAATATTTGCAAACAAATATCTGATAAGGAGTTAGTATTCAAAATAGCCTACAACTCAATAACAAACAAGTAATCCAATTTAAATATGGGCAAAGAAACTGAATAGACATTTGTTTAAAGAAGACATATAAATGGCCAGCAGGTATATGAAAAGGTGTTCAACATCACTAACAATCAATGAAATGCAAACCAAAATCACAATGAGTTATCATCTCATACATGTGAGAATGGCTATTATCAAAATGACAAAAAAATCAATATCAATTCTTCCAATCCATGAACACAACATGTTTTTCCATCTATTTCTGTCTACACTAATTTGTCAATGTTTAATAGTTTTCAGTATACAGATTTTTCACCTCCTCAGTTTAGTTTATTTCTAAGTATTTTTTATCTTTTTGGTGGTATTGTAAATGTTTTCTTAATTTCATTTTTAGGTAATTAATTCCTAGTGTATAGAAATGCAATTGCCTTTTTGTATACTGAGTTTGCATTCTGCAGCATGTCTGCATTCATTTACCAGTTATAACAGTTCTTTTGTGAAGTCTTTGGAGTTTTCTACCTGATCTATAAGATTGTGCAGTCTGCAAACATAGATAATTTTCCTTTTTCCTTTTCTATTTGAATGACTTTTATTTCTTTCCCTTGCTTGATCCTTTGGATAGAATTTCTATTACCATGGTGAATAGAAATGGCAAGTGGACATGTTTGCCTTGCTCCAGATCTTACAGAAAACACTTTCAGTTTTTTTTATCATTGAATATTATGTTAGCAGAAGCATTACAAGATATACCTATTTTGTTGAGAGTTTTTATCATGAAAGGATGTAGAATTTGTCAAATGGTTTTTCTGCATCTATTTAAATGATCATATGATTTTCATCTTTTATTCTGCTCATGTGGTGTATCTCATTGATTGATTTGCATATGTTGAATCATCCTTGCATCCCACTTTATCATGGTGTGTGATTGCATTAATACCTTGTTGAATGTGGTTGCTAGTACTTTATTGAAGATTTTGGCATCAATGTTCTTCAAGGATATTTGACTATAGATTGTTTTTTTTTCTTCTCCTTCTCCTCCTCCTCCTCCTCCTCCTTCCTCTTCCTCCTCTTCTTCTTCTTCCTTTTTTTTTTTTTTTTTTTTTTTTTTTGAGGTGGAGTTTCACTCTTGCTGCCCAGGCTGGAGTACAATGGCACGATCTCAGCTCATCGCAACCTCCACCTCCCAGGTTCAGGTGATTCTCCTTTCTCAGCCTCCCGAGTAGCTGGGATTACAGGCATGTTCCACCACACCTGGCTAATTTTGTATTTTTAGTAGAGACGGGGTCTCTCCATCTTGGCCAGGCTGATCTCAAACTCCCGACCTCAGATGATCTGCCTGCCTCGGCCTCCCAAAGTACTGGAATTACAGGCATGAGCCACTGTGACCGGCACTATAGATTCATTTTCTTGTGATATCTTTGTCTGGCTTTATATCAGGGGGATGCTAGCCTCATTAAAACAGCTTAGAAAGAGTCCCTCTTCTATTTCGGGAAAAGTTTAAGAAGGGCTGGTATTAATTCTTCTCTAAATGTTTGAGAGAATTCATCCATGAAATCATCTGGCCCTGGATTCTTCTTTGTTTAGAACTTTTTAATCTCTGATTAAATTTCCTCATTTTGTATTGGTCTGTTCAGGCTTCCCAAGTGAGTCTTGGTATGTTGTATGCTTCTAGAAATTTATTCACTTTTTCCCAGTTGTTCAATATTTTGGTGTGTAGTTTTTGGTAATATCATTTATGATTTGTGTGTCTATGATCTATTTGTCATATTTTTTATAATCTATTGTTTATGATCTCTTTGTAATATATCTCTTCCATTTATTATTTTATTTATTTTTGTTTTCTGTTTTTTCTTTTAGTTTAGCTAAGTGTTTGCCAGTTTTGTTTATCTTAGAAACAAACTCTTAATTTCATTGATTTTTCCCCTATTTTTAGATTTATTTATTTCATTATTGTTACTCTAATCTTTATTTCCTTTCTTTCTTCTAGTTCTGGGATCAGATTGTGCTTCCTTTTCTAATTTCCGGAAGTGAAATATTAGGTCTTTTATTTGTGTTATTTCTTTTTTTAATGTAGGCATTTACCAGTAAAAATATTCCTCTTAGTACTTTATTTGCTAATTTCTATCAATTTTGATATATTTACTTTCACACTTTTCAAGATGTTTTCTAATTTTTCTATTGATTTCCTCTTTGATCTATTGGTTGCTGAAAGGTGTCTTGTTTGATCTCCATGTTTATAATATTTTACATTTTTCTTTTGTTATTGATCTCTAATTTCATTCCATTGTGGTTGGAAAAGAAACTTCACATTGTTGTAATTATTCTTAAATTTATCAAGCTTTTTGTGCAACTTATCATATGATCTGTTAGTCGGAAGTTTCTATGTGCAATTAAGAACAATATATATTCTGTTATTGTTGGGTAGAATGTTCTGTATGTTTCTTAGGCCCATTTTATTTATAATATTTTTCTAGTTCACTATTTCCCTACTGATTTTCTGTCTGGAATATGTGTCCATTGTTGTAAATGTAGTATTGAAGTCTCCTACTATCGCCGTATTGCTATCTACTTCCCTTCTCAGATCTTGCTTTACATATTTAAGTACACTAATGTTGGAGATATATATATATAGTTGGATATATATATGTATACATATATATATATAGTTGGATATATATATATGTATACATATATATAGTTGTGTATATATGTATACATATATATATCCAACATTATGCAAAGTGAGAATTTTCTTATGTAAAGCAATAATTATAAATAATGTAAAGCAATAGTTATATGTAATTGTATGTATGTATGCACATATATGTATATACATTGACAATTTAATTATAATGTGGGTTGGTATAGATCTTTTTAGACTTAACCTATTAGGGTCCTTTGGGGCTTCATTCATATGTATGTATGTATGTACATACATATATGTAAAGTAATATATGTAAATCAAAATTATAAACAAATATATATTATATTCTATATTATAGCTTCCTTTCAAATTGATTTTTTAAATCATTATATAATAATCTGTGTCTCTAGAGGCAGTTTTTGATGTGAGGTATATTTAATCTGCTATAAGTATGGTTATTTCTGTCTTTTTTGGTGACCATTCTCTTGGAATATATTTTTATATGTCATCTCTTTCAGCCTATATATGTATTTAAATCCAAGGGAATATGTTGCAGGCAAAGAAAAATTATTTGATATTTTAAAAAATCGATTTGGGCACTCTATATATTTGATTGGTGAGTTTAATCCATTAACATTTAATTATTGATAGCTAAGGACTTATTATTATGTTTTATAGTTTTTTTAGTTCCTGCTTTCCTCTCTTGCTATCCCCCTTTTTGATTTGATAATTTTTGTGGTAATATATTTTGATTCTTTTTCTCTTTTTCGGTATCCACTTTTAGTTTTTTTCATTGTGGTTACTATGAGGCTTACATAAAATTTCTTATAGCTCTAAAGGTCTATTTTGACCTGATAACCAGTTAACTTCTATTGCATACAAAAGTCTCTATTTTTCCTCTCCCCACACACTTTGTGTTTCTGATGTCAGATTTACTTCTTTTTGTATTGTATCCATTAACTAATTTACGAAAGTTATAACTATTCCTTGTACATTGGTCTTTTAAATTTTACACTAAATTTAAAAGTGAGTTACACAGCACCACTGCAATACTACATTATTCTGTATTTATTTATATATTTACTTTTGCCACTGAGATTTATACTTTTATATGCTTTTGTGTTACTGTTTAACATTCTTTTATTTCAACATGAAAAACTCCCTTCAGCACTCTTGTAAGGTAGGTCTAGTTTTTGCTCGTTTGGGGGAAATTTTTATCTCCTTTATTTTTAAAGGACAGTTTTTTTGAATATAATATTCTTATTTGGCAGGTTTTTTTTTTTCTTTCAATACTTTGCATCTGTCATCCCATGCTCTCCTGGCCTGCAAGATTTATGTTGAGAAATCGGCTGACAGTAGTACAGCTGTTCCTTAGAATGAAAGAGCCACTTTTCACCAGCTGTTTTTGAAATTCCCTCTTTGTATTTGACATTTGACAATTTAATTATAATGTGTCTTGGTATAGACCTGTTTAGGCTCAACCTATTCAGGTCATTTGGGGCTTCATGATTCTCAAAGTCTATTTTCCTCCCCAGATTTGGGAAGTATTCAGCAATCATTTTTCCAAGTAAACATTCTATCCTTTTTTTTAAATCCTACTGTGACTCTCATAATGTTTATTTGCTTCACTTAATGATATCCCAGATGTCTCAGAACCCACTTCGTTTTTAAACATTTTTTCTGTTATTTGACTGGATAATTTCAAAGGACCTGTCTTCAAGCTCATTGATTCTTCCCTCTTCAGAATTAAGTCTGCTATAGGACCTCTCTATTGGATTTTTCACCTCATTTGTTGTATTGTTCAGCTCCAGAATTTCTGTGTTTTCTTTTTGATATTTTTGACCTCATTATTGAATTTTTCATTTTGTTTATGTATTGTCCTTCAGGTATTGTTTAGTTATCTGTGTTCTTCTGTAGCTCACTAAGCTTCTTTAAGATTATTAGTTTGCAGTCATTGCCAGACAGTTCATGGATCTTTGTTTTTCAGGGTTGGTTAGCAATACTTTATATTGTTCTTTGGTAGTGTCTGTTTTTTTATGATTTTTGTGACCTTTCTATCCTTGTATTCATGTGTACACATTTTTAAAACAGTAACCTCTTTCAGTCTTCATAAACAAGATTTGGCAGGGAAAACCCCTCACTAGTCAGTCTGTCCAGAAATTCTGCGTAGGCCTGGTAAGTAATCTGGGGTCCATGGTTGGGTGGACAGGTGGGCCTGATGATGGAAATTAAGAACAATCAGGCCTTGTGCCATACCCGTGTGCATGTAGGCCTCATGCTAGGGTCCATGGATTGCCTGAGTTTAGATCACCCATTTGTGGATGGGTGACCCTGACTGCTGGGTCTGCAGTCTAATGGGTCTGCTGCTAGGGTTTGTTGTTGAGTGGGTCTGGTGCTGGGATCTGCATGTGGATTTGGTGCTGAGGTCTACAGTCACATGTGCTTATTGCTAGTGTCTATGCTTAAGCTGATCTGGTGCCAGAGTTTATTAACTGTACTTTGGTGCCATAGTCTATGGGCAAAGTGGCCTGGTTCCAAAATCCACAGCCAAGTTGAATGCTAACTTTATTATTACTTTTATTCTTAGGATATCTTGTGGGCCAAGGGAATCTCTCAACACTGTGCTATTTGGGCTGGTTTGTGAGCGTTAGGAAAATGATATGGTTTGGCTGTGTCACCATCCAAATCTAAACTTGAATTGTATCTCCCACAATTCCCATGTGTTGTGGGAGGGACCCAGGGGGAGGTAATTGAATCATGGAGCCGGTCTTTCCTGTGCTATGTTTGTGATAGTGAATAAGTCTCATGAGATCTGATTGGTTTATCAGAGTTTCCGGTTTTGCTGCTTCCTTATTTTCTCTTGCTGCTGCCATGTAAAAAGTGCCTTTCATCTCCTGCCATGATTGTGAGGCCTCCCCAGCCATGTGGAATTGTAAGTCCAATTAAACCTCTGTTTCTTTACAGTCTCAGGCATGTCTTTATCAGCATTGCGAAAAAGGACTATATGGTAAATTGGTACCAGTAAAGTGGGGCATTGCTACAAAGATACCTGAAAATGTGGAAGTGACTTTGGAACTGCATAACAGGCATCAATTGTAACAGTTTGAAGGGCTCAGAAGAAGACAGAAAAATGTGGAAAAGTTTGGAACTTCTTATAGACTTGTTGAATGGCTCTGTCCAAAATGCTTATAGTGATATGGACAATAAAATCCAGGCTGAGGTGTTCTCAGATGGAGATGAGGAACTTGTTGGGAACTGGAGCAAAGGTGACTCTTGTTATGTTTTAGCAAAGAGACTGGCAGCATTTTGCCCCTACCCTAGAGATTTGTGGAACTCCGAACTTGAGAGAGATGATGTAGGGTATCTGGCAGAAGAAATTTCTAAGCAGCAAAGCATTCAAGAGATGAGTTGGGTGCCATCAAAGGCATTCAATTTTATAAGGGAAGTAGAGCATAAAAGTTAGGAAAATTTGCAGCCTGACAATGCAGTAGAAAAGAAAAACCCATTTTCTGGGTAAAAATTCAAGCCTGCTGCAGAAATTTAAGCCTGCTGCAGAAATTTGCATAAGTAGCAAGCAACCTAATGTTAATCCCCAAGGCCATGGGGAAAATGACTCCAGGCCATGTCAGAGACCTTCTCAGCAGCCCCTCCCATTAAAGGCCTGGAGGCCCAGGAAGAAAAAGTGGTTTTGTGGGCTGGGTTCAGGGTCCCCGTGCTGTTTGCAGCCCAGGTACTTGGTGTCCTGTGTCCCAGTTGGTCCAGCCATGGCTGAAAAGGGCCAAAATACTGCTCTGGCTGTGGCTTCAGAGGGTTGAAGTCCCAAGACTTGGCAGTTTCCATGTGTTGTTGAAACTGTGCGTGCACAGAAGTCAAGAATTGAGGTTTGGTAACCTCCGCCTAGATTTCAGAAGATGTATGCACCAGACCCACTCAAGAGCAAAGTTTGCTGCGGGGGCAGGGCTCTTATGGTGAACCTCTGCTAAGGCAGTGGAAGAAAGTAAATCTGGGTTTGGGGCCCCCACACAGAATCCCTACTGAAGCCCTTCCTAGTGGAGCTGTGAGAAGGTCACTGTCCTCCAGACCCTAGAATGGTAGATCCAAGAAAAACTTGCACCATCCACCTGGAAAAGCCACAGACCCTCAATGACAGCCCGTGAAAGCATCTGGGAGGAAGGCTGTACCCTACAAAGCCACAAGGGTGGAGCTGCCCAAGACCATGGGAACCTACTTCTTGCATCAGCATGACCTGGATGTGGGACCTGGAGTCAAAGAGATCATTTTGGAACTTTAAAATTTGACTCACCCACTGGATTTTGGACTTGTGTGGGCCCTGTAACCCCTTTGTTTTGGCCAATTTCTCTCATTTGGAGTGGCTTCATTTACCTATACCTGTACCCTCATTGTATCTAGGAAGTAACTAGCTTGCTTTTGATTTTAAAGGCTCACAGTCAGAATGGACTTGCCTTGTCTCAGATCAGACTTTGGACTGTGGACTTTTGGGTTAATACTGAAATGAGTTAAGACTTTGGGGGACTATTGGGAAGACATGATTGGTTGTGAAATGTGAGGACATGAGATTTGGAGGGGCCAGAGGTGGAATGATATGGTTTGGCTGTTTACCCACCCAAATCTTAACTTGAAGTATATCTTCCAGAACTGTGTTGTGGGATGGACCCAGGGTGAGTTAATTTAATCATGGGGCCCAGTCTTTTCTGTGCTATTCTCATGATAGTGAATAAGTTTCATGAGATCTGATGGGTTTATCAGGGGTTTCTCCTTTGCTTCTTCCTCATTTTCTCTTGCCACTGCCGTATAAGAAGTGCCTTTCACTTCCCACCATGACTGTGAGGCCTCCCCAGCCATGTGAAGCAGTAAGTCCAATAAACCTCTTTTTCTTCCCATTATCAGGTATGTCTTTATCAGCAGCATGAAAAGGGACTAATACAGAAGATAATGTTATTCATGGATAGGTGTTAAACCAGTGTTTCTGTGGGAAGATGAAGACAAGAACCTCCTATTCCACCATCTTTCTTATATCATTGCTAAAATGCTAATGGTATTAGTATTTCTGTATTTTTTCCATTCAGGTATTCAAAATAATTAGAGAGTCATTATATACTTCATTTAAGCATGACATTCATTCTTACTGGTCTCTAGAAAGAGCTTGATTAATCATGGGAGTCCCTCTTTCACATTTTAATGCATGCTCTATGAAGAAATCTCATCTTCCTCCAGAAAAAAGTTATTAAAATCACCTACCTATACTTTAATGTGCTATTTTATTTTTAACTTTAGCAGTCTCTGTGTGAAGTTGTTGCTACATGTTGTAGGAATCGAATCTCATTTTTGGTGAAGCCAGTGGCCGTGTGAAAATTCTTTACCTATTACAGATTGTGAGTGTGGCTTCTTTGTTCCTTGGTGTCATGTACTTCTTTGTGTTATGCCACAAGCTTTGTTAAATTGTTTTTAACATTGTTTTGGTAATTGAAAAAAAAATCTTCTTTAATTTGCATTATTTTGCCAAGTGCTGTAGGAACTCATCAACCTTTTATATAAGCTGAAATTTGAAGATATATTTCCTAAAACCTTTACACTTTTCCACTAAAAGAAAAGTTACCTTGCATGTAAAGCACACTTAATTGGTGTTCTTTAACTCATTTCAGGCAGGAATATATACATAGCACTCGATACATACCAGAACATTTCCTTCAGTGTCTCTATTCAGTATCTCATGGGGAAAACTATAGTCTTTTGTTAATCTCGCTAGAATGGCTTAACTTTGGAGATTGTTCACAGGTTCACAGTGCTGTTCTTGAGATGGTTTGATTACATTTCTTTTTATTCTTTATCCCAATAGAGCCTAGAAAACAAACTTAATGTTGTCAATGAAGTTTCAACTATTTAATATATACAAAACCAAATTCATAAAATCAAGTTATCATGTTTTTGCTAACAATTCATAAATATGTAAAAAAAATTTTTAGAAAATAAATTTCTACTTAATAGTAGAAGAAACCAAAAATTTTCCTTCTGAAATCAGAGGCTAGGATTTCCTTTCTAAATATGAAAACAACTTATTTGCCACATGGTTCTATATTAATCCTACCACCTGCTGTATTTCCAAAGGAGATTCCATTCAGCCTTTTTAAATACAATTCTGAACATAAAGAATAAATGTGCCAGAAAGAAGCTGGAAAGTAAATAACAGCAGGTTTCACTTGAAATATAATACTTGCAAATTTAGGCATGAAATTTTTAGTGACATTAATGAGGATGGTGGGACTAAATATCCCTCTGCTTCACTAAATCTACATTTATATATAACTGCACAGTCAAAACTGAAATATCTGACCTTAACTGACTCCATTAGGCTTAGATGTTGCAGGAAGAGTTATGTGATATATATTCTTTAATTTAATTCCATATAATACTGTATCTTCCTTTGTTAAATGATAAAGTGATTCTTTCAGAAGCCAGCTGTGTATGCATGTGTGTAACATGGTAAAAACCAATGTTAACAGCTGCAGATTGACCAAAGATAGCATAATGCATATTTTCTGACCAGTAAATTACATATCACAGCACGCACTGATGAAGCAGAACAAAGGTGTTTCTTCACAAGGATGACAGAGCTCAACAAATACCTACAACCATAACTGAAATAAGAAACTATTCCTTTAGCAAGAAGAAAATTCTATTCTATTAAACAATCTACTAATTTTTACCTTTGTGTTATTTACTTACTTTTATCTTTATTACTAGTTAATATGATCTTTTATATGTCAATAAGCTTACATTTAATTGTTAAAATCTGTGTCCATTAATGATTTTGTCTTAATTTCTTTTATAATATAACCTGAAATGATCAGAGCTAGTTTGGAGTATATGGAGGGCTTTTCTGAAAGATTAAAACAAAAGTCACATGCTTTATGCAAATGTCAAATGACTAGAACAAGAAAAGCTAGACATTTTAAGTTAATTTTAAAGAGTATGTTATGTGCCTTGCTCCTATGTTCCTTAAAACTGCATTTTCTTCACGCCTGTAATCCCAGCACTTTGGAAGGCAGAGGCGGGAGGATCAGAGGTCAGGAAATCAAGACCATCCTGGCTAACAGGGTGAAACCCCGTCTCTACTAAAAAAAAAAAAAAAAAAAAAAAATTAGCAGGCCGTGGTGGCGGGCTCCTGTAGTCCCAGCTACTCTGGAGGCTGAGGCAGGAGAATGGCGTGGACCGGGGAGGCGGAGCTTGCCGTGAGCAGAGATCGCTCCACTGCACTCCAGCCTGGGCGACAGAGCGAGACTCCGTCTCAAAACACACACACACACACACACACACACACACACACACAGACACACACACAAACAAACAAAAAAACCACTACATTTTCTTTACCTCTTGAAGGAAACTTTAGTTTGACTATTAGAGGGCACTGTATATATGGTAATCCATTGGTACCCTGAATTTGATTAAGGGCTCTGCCCAAGAGGCAAATAAAATAATTTGACAAAACAAAATTATGTTATTAAAACACAGAGGGGAGGAGGAGACAGGAGGAAAATAACCAAGAGTATTTTAGAGGTGCCACTGAAGAGAAAGATTGCAAGAATACTCTTGGTTTTTATTCCAGTTCACAGGCATCATAAAATAATTTTCTTTTGTCAGGAAAGTTGAAGGCATCTCTGGTTATTAAAACATAAAGGGCCTAAGTAGCATGTTCATGTTGCTATTATCCTATTAAAGTGACAGTGACAGCAGTAGAAGGGTCTTGGATTTGATTTTGGAATTATCATATGTCTATTGTAAACTCTAAGTTGGATTCATAATACATAGAAAAAACAAAGAAGTGAAGATGCTCAGTTTTGATGAAGTTATATTGTAAAGTTATGACAGTATTCTTTTGACACTTTAGAAAACTGACCATTGGAAAGATGAAAATATTTAATTCAGGTTTTTATCTTACCATTAAATTTTTATGTTGCTTTTTCATTTATTTAATAATTTTATTTTAAACCAGTTTAAATATTATTTTATTAAGCATATATAGTATTTATGGTTTACATTTCTACTTAACAAAATATCTTCCTAGCAGATAAATATTCACAGCTGGCAGGAGTATTAGACTGCATTTAATTCAACTGCAATTGTCATAAAAGCTCCAGGTTAATGAGACTTAATACTTGTGATGGTTATTATTGAGTTCCAACTTGACTGGATTGAAGGATGCAAAGTATTGTTCCTGGGTGTATCTGTGAGGGTGTTGCCCAAAAGAGATTAACATTTGAGTCAGTGGACTAGGAGAGACAGACCCACTCTTGATCTGGTTGGACACCATCTAGCCAGCTGCCAGTGTGGCTAAGATAAAAGCAGACCGGGGGACATGGAAAGACTAGACTGGCTAAGTCTTCTGGCCTCCATCTTTCTCCTGTGCTGCAGGCTTCCTGCCCTCAAACATCGAACTCCATGTTCTTCAGCTTTTGGAGTCTTGGACCTACACCAGTGGTTTGCCATGGGCTCTGGGGCCTTTGACCACAGACTGAAGGCTCCACTGTCAGCTTCCCTACTTTTGAGGTTTTGGCACTTGGACTGGCTTCCTGGCTCCTCAGCTTGCAGATGGCCTATTGTGGCACTTCACCTTGTGATCGTATGAGTCAATACTCCTTAATAAACCCCTTTTCATATATATATATCCTACTGTTGCTGTCCGTCTAGAGAACCCTGACTAATACAATACTGATTTTAACACTCCGATATTTTTAAACTCATGAAGACTGATCAGTTTTGGCATACATACACACATCCATTCATATGTGTGTGTGTGTGTGTGTGTGTGTATATATACACACACATATTTATGCACACACACATACATACACATACATACATAAACTATATAAATATCAATATAAAATATTTATAGCACATTATCACAGACATAAATTAGCAGTACTTCTCTCACTATTATATAAATATCACCTGCAAACAAACGGCTACTTTCTAACAAAATGGGAAAATGGACAAAAGCTCAAGAACAAACACAAAAAGACATTTATACCTATGAAGAGATATCCAACCCCATTTATTAAGACAGAGATCTAGACTAAAATTAGTAGAGGAGATTGACAAAAGTTCAAATTTGATAACTCAGTTTATTGGAAATGATGTATAAACTACCAACTCTTATTAATTGCTGGAAAGGAGGTAAATTGGCACAATCCATGTGGAAGGCACGTTGTTAGTCTTATATATTTTACAAAAGTAATTTTGACACAGAAAATCTGATTTTGAGAATTTGTCCGACATATTGCATTTCATATATATATGTAATTGACCTGTAAAATTTGGCTCACTTATAGTGTTGTCTGCTCTAGCACAAGATTGAGTGGAGGCTCTAAAAGCCAAACTACACAGAAATTACTATATAATTTTTTGTCATCTTAGAATGGAATATTATTTAGCTGTTAAAAATGTCAAAGTCATTATGTTCTAATATGAACAGATCTCTGAGATATATTATTACATGAAAAATAGGAAGGTTCCGAGCAACGTGTCTGGAAAGGGGGAGGAAAAGCCTCCACCACATTGTAAGTGTTTTTATATGTATATAACTACTTGATAGAATAAATAAGAAGTTAAATAACATGTTGTGAGAAGAGAAATAAAATTATGAGGCCATTTAAAATTATGTCATATGGTAACATTTCAGTTTTCATCAATTTATATGTGACTTGTAGATGCGACAAACACGTCAAAGAAAAAAATCAACAACAAATGTGTTCATTCTTCTTCATCTAGCAATTTTTTTTTTTTTTTTTGAGACAGAGTCTCACTCTGTCACCCAGACTGGAATGCAGTGGCGTGATCTCGGCTCACTGCAACCTCTGCCTCCTGGGTCCAAGTGATTCTCCTGCCTCAGTCTCCCAAGTAGCTGGGAGTACAGGCGTATGCCACCACACCCAGAAAATATTTGTATTTTTTGTAGAGATGGGGTTTCCCCATGTTGGCCAGGCTGGTCTTCAACCCCTGACCTCAGGTCATCCAACTGCCTCGGCCTCCCAAAGTGCTAGGATTACAGGCATGAGCCATCATGCCCGGCCTTTTTAGTAAATATTTAGAGAGGATTTATTATGTGCTGGCACTGACATAGGCATTCAGAATATAAAGATGAATCAAACACAGATTTGCCCTCCAGGAGCTCATAGTAGAGGTTGGGAAAGGGGTTGACAACTTCTTACCATATTATAATAATTCAGTATAATCAATGTTATGATTTCAGTATGTGCAAGGTGTAATGGGAATGGGAAGAAAAGTACTTTGAATTAGACATCTCAATTTAAATGCCTCCTGTCTGAGAGATGTATTTTACACTGAAATTTTATATAAATAAATAACAGCATCTACTTGTTTTCTAATGTAGTACTTGGAAGACAATTTAATAAATGTCTGTGGTGTGTGTGTGTGTGTGTGTGTGTGTGTGTGTGTTTAAATCCTCCCAAAGTATAAGTGCCTAAGGAGTGACAGATTTAATTTTACCTTTTAGAGAAACTACTATACTTTGTAGTAGTCTGTGGAGAAACAAGACAATAAGAAAGAAACAAGCAGCACTATAAAGACAAAATAAGTTGTTTGGTTAACCTGAAACAAAAAATTCTCTGAAGTAAACTTAATATTTCCTTTCAATGTCCAGTCACATAGAAGTGTATTTACAAAGAATACCACTCAGCTTCTTAAGAAAACATGTTCTCAAATTATATATTGTAAGCCACTGTCAAATTCAGCACCATTTTTTATCCTGAAGAAATGACTATGAATAAAAACGTTTTAAATTCTTCATATCAGTTTTATATTTTATGATAATTGATTATTGACCAACTAGGTAGGTTAGGGAGATAATATTCTCATTTTTTGTTAAACGTCTCTCAACATTCTGAGATGTATCTGGGAAAAAGAATGTAAATGTGGGATTGAGATCCTGCCACAGTTCTCAGAAAGAGTGAAACAAGCTTTGCTCTCGTAGGCTGCCATTCTAAGTACACATTATGCAGGGTTATATAAGCATTCTTCATAAAGAAAACAGAGGATTTTAGATCATGTTTTATGAATTCTTGTGCTGAGCCCACTGAGACCATGAACTTTATCTTGGGTGGAAGAACTAAACAAAAGAATGCTTTTACTCTTTTAATTTTCATGGGAAATTGCTTCTCAGAAATTCTTTCTGACGATAAACTGTTCTGAATTATTATTATTATTATCATTATTATTATTAAAAACAACTAAGATTCAGATTGAATGCTCTAATGGTAAAGTTCATAATTGGACTATAAGTCATCAGAGTTGACATTCTCAATGCATTAGAATGAAGAAAGTAGAAGTTTGAAGGCTCTGTACATAACCGTTTTCTTCAGGGATTTATAACACATTATGCAATAGGCACATGTTAAATACTGTATCTCAAATATAGTCACTCAATTCTACTTCTAACACTAACTAGATTATATGATCATCAATTTTTTAAACTTTAACCTGACTCTTTATTCTCTACCAATTCTGTTTCTGAGTGATAATGACATTTCAACCATATTTTAATGTTTGCCGAATTGCAGTAAACAACATTTTCATATTTGGAAAAATTAAAGCAATAATAAAATTTACAGGTTGCAATCCTATGATAATCTTCAGTTGCTTTTTTGACCACCCATTCTTTTAGTAAGAACATCCTCGTTTCTTTTGTCATTCACATCTACTCTTTTGGCCTATGTGCTTAATGATATTGGCAGCACTGTCTTGATTAGCATAAATCCATCAGTACTGTCTCATTTTAAAGTGTCCTATATTGTCCAAAGTGTTTTACAATTTATTGTGGGAGTCATACATGAGCAGCATATGTGCAAATTATGTAAATTGTGGAAGCAGAAGAGAAGGAAGCCATTATTTTAACACAGAGAATCAGGGAAAGTTATCATTCAAGATTTATCAGAGACTATCTCCTTGTTGCTTTGGCATTGTGCATAAGTGTTTTCTACAATAATGTCCCATTGCCCAGCCTGTAACTTTGGGAATACTGTGATGGCGGCAGTGACCAGTCTCCACATTTCATTGTTCAATCATTCACCTCTTGGGGTACTGAGAGAAGGTTTCTCTAGATCTGTCCTCGTGATCGCAGGATAAGAAAAACAATTGCCTTACAAATACTGCACAAATGCATTTAACTGGAAGAAATTGATTGGCAGAGTATTCACCGCAGTGTGTTCTGGGAAACGCAGATTTTAGCTTTCAGAACTTTGTTTCAGGAAGATGTATTTGAAGCAGGTGGGCATGAAAGCTGAAAGCTGAGTGCAAATCAACGGTAGTCAACACAGAGATGTATGTAAAACATCTACATCGGATGTATTTTGACCTGGAGTTCAGCATAGATAGATCTTCAAATTTGAAGTCAGTATGCTTTGAGTATAGCATATAGTTTAGAGGTGAAGAAGAGATGAGAGGAGAAAAAGCTGCTGGACTGAATAACCATATATCTAAAGTGATTGATGTTTCTATTACACAAGAAGAGCTTCATTTTCTTATGTATGGCTTGTCTTGAATCCTGAGAATTTTTTCTCTGAAAATATATTCTTCATTTCCAAATTTCCAAATTCTTGTAGAACTATATTTTAATGTTATTGCATCTGATTGTACTTCCTAGTGTTTTGCAGTTTGTCTTGTCTGCAGCATTATTTTCACAAGATTTTACGTGCATTGTGAGAAAAAAAAGATTGTGTTCAAATACATGTAGGGTAACTTGTATGAGATAAATTTAGGGTATCTTTACATAAGATATCTGAAATTTATTTGAACGCAAACTTTTTTGGGGGAATATATATATATCCAAAATTATTGCCTGCTTCAGATTTCTAAAAAGTTAAAACTATGTTATAAAGAGTTTTATTACACTGTTTATTTCTCTTTCGCTGTAGTAAGCACATTTCATCAAATTCATCAATTGCCAGTGAATAGTAAAACTTTAGAGCTGCTTTGAACACTTCAGCTAGTTTTATATCTGACTCACATTTTATTTTTTCATGTGTGTTTGTATGTGGTAAAAGCCCATATGTAATCTCCTAGGGGTTATTTTCTGTAGCCAGCTAAGTGGTCACGTAGAGATGCTCGAAATTTTTTTTCTTAGATTATTAGAAGTAAGACAAAGATAATCTATAGGACAATTCATATAGCTTTGTTATTTTAGAAAAAAATCTGTCTTAATAATTATGTATATGTTTTGATAATAAGTAGGTGAAATATTTTAAATAAAATGTAACAATCTCCAAATCTCGGTAGTATTGAGATATAAATTCTAAGGAGTACAGTTCATGCTTTCTGAACAAAAGGCATATTTGAAAGACAAACATGCCTTGGAAGCTAGAGATAGTGTATTCCTCTGGAGAGATTCAGAAATGTAAAGTTCTTGTCTTATTTTTCCTCTAACACATTTAACATACTGCAGGATAATAAACATAGAGACATCTCTCTGTCTCCCGGAAAGAGAGCTGCTTAATGACTAAGAGCTTTTACTCTAGAGGAGAGGATAGGCAGATGTATCACCAGTTCCATACAAACTTAGAATCTTTTCTGGGTTTCCTCCCCTGTAGTACAGCTCCCTGCATGCACATCTAAACAATTAAACTTCATCCTGCTGTGAGAATCCTGGAGGAAGTACTCTGTAGATTTTGCTGACAGTAATACATGGTCTATTCCTTTGATCTAAGGATCTTATGCTCTTCTTTCAGTATATGGACATGAAATTGTAACAGACTAACTTGCAGGCTTACAAGCAGGGAAAACCTTAGACCCTTCCTAGTCTGTATTATCTGAATACTGCAAAAGTCTATTTTGCACTCATGTTTCATTCTCACTGTAGAAGAACTGGGACATCCTCCCTAGTATCCTAACTCAAGTAAACAAGAGGGAGAACGGTGTAGAGTTTACACCAATAAGTGTCACTCACTTTCCACTCTCATCTTATTGGTTAAAATGGGGTTGGAAGTGCAACTTCCAGGAAGCGAAAGAGCCAGGAACATTTGGTGAACCAAACTAATGTTTACCACAAATAACTAATTCACTAACTAGAAACATCTGTATTCTTATTTAAAATGTTTGGTTTAAGTATTTTGTACTAAATAAGGTGAAGTGTGTTGGCAAAATGTGAGGTCTGTCTTTTTATCTCAATGCGTTTTAAGTTTAGAGAGAAAGAATCATAGTTTAGCAGCAAAGCATCAGGATTTTGACCCCTACCTAGTTCAATATTCAAAATGTAAATGCCATTTCCAAAATAGAAAATAACATCCAATATTGAGGCCGGGCGCGGTGGCTCACGCCTGTAATCCCAGCACTTTGGGAGGCCGAGACGGGCGGATCACGAGGTCAGGAGATCTAGACCATCCTGGCTGACACGGTGAAACCCCGTCTCTACTAAAAATACAAAAATTAGCCGGGCATGGTGGCGCGCGCCTGTAGTCCCAGCTACTCGGGAGGCTGAGGCAGGAGAATGGCGTGAACCCGGGAGGCGGAGCTTGCAGTGAGTCGAGATCGCGCCACTGCGCTCCAGCCTGGGCGACAGAGCGAAACTCCGTCTCAAAAAAAAAAAAAAAAAAAAAAAAAAAAAAGAAAATAACATCCAATATTGAAATAACAATAGCTCAATTAGAAAAATAAAGGAACCACACTTGTTCAACAATACCAGAAGCTTCAATTTCTGTTCTAAACACTCCAAATTAGAAAGAACTGGGGCTAGAGTTTGATGGAGAAATTCAAGATAGTTTAACATATTTATGTGTATACATATATACAGCTAGAGTTTGATGGAGAAATTCAGATAGTTTAACATATTCGTGTGTGTGTATGTGTGTGTGTGTGTGTGTGTGTATATATATACACACACACACATATACATATGTAGTACTTAGTCTATGCTGTTTTATGCACCGTACTGTTCTAAACACTTTGAACATGATAATCCTAACATGTGCACACTTTATCATTAACTTTATTTTACAAAGGATTGAACTGAGGCACAAATATATGATATCACTAGCCTTAGACCACATAGCTAATATGTGGAAAAATGTCTAGATTCCAGTCAAGGCAATTTGACTCCAGAATCTGTGTTCTTAAACAATTTCTAGGGCTATGGACATGTGTCTTGTTTTACATGAAAATAAAATATTTTTTGCTACTTGTTTTGAACTTGGAAACACTGGACCACTTTTAGGAGAAAGTCTATATTCATTTGGTATATCATAAGTTGTCAAATTCAAGATCATGGGTAAAGACATATTTTGGCTTATAACATAATTAACTCTTCTGTGGCTTAGGATATAATTAAACATTTTAAGTCAGAATAATCCTAAACTAAAGTTATATAGAAGATAGAGATTTCCCTATTACAGCAGCTTTTATGCTTACCCTGAATTATCAGTGGTTCTATAGATAGAATTAGTGTAGTTACAGATATTAACAAAAATTTCCCTCTTCCGTAAAGCATTGAATGTCTTGCTATTAAAGGCTGAGATACCATTTGATTTACCCCCTTTATAATTATATCATGGAGTAAAATTCAGGTTGGTTATGTATCCAGTATGTTTGTATTTATTTATTCATTCTTCCCTTTTCCATAAAGGTTCATTTTGTCATTCTCCAAGAAAAATTTCATCCAATGACTGTTTTCCTAGAAAGCATATGTATGTGGAATATAGGCTCGGATTAATAACACTTTTCTTTTCTTATTTTCTATAACTATGGATTGTTACTCAGAATGTCTTTCCAAACTTTGGTAGCAGTGCTCCAAAGTATAGAAATTTTCTACAATAGCAGAGCCTGGAAGGGATCTATAGCTACAATTTATCAATAAGACAGTTACTGGCAAAGAACCAGTCAGAGATTTTATGGAGAACTCTGTGTATGAAAATTGAATTGGAAAGGAATGGAAAGAAATGCTAAAACACAGAGAACATCATATACATAAAGTTCAAATCTGCATGCTATAGTTGAAATTTTAAAAAATTTGACTGACAATTATATTCTTTATCTGAATATAGATTTTAAAAGGTATGAAGACATACGTGACCTTTTTAAAGTAATTTGTAGAATTAACTGTGAACCAGCTCTTCTCTTCTCTGCCATGAGAAAGCTCTCTTGCCACACACAAAATCGTAGTGGCTAACAAGGTTAAATAAAATTAATAAAAAGCTTCAGTTTGAATTTTTAATGACACCATACCCAAAAGCACGACCTTGTTTCACGTGCCAATCTCTCATTACCCTTTTTTTTTTACATTGCATTCAACTTTCCTTTATAAAAATTGAAATTCACAGTCATCCCTTGAAACACTCTGAAAATTTTCAACTAAACTGTATAGGCAGAACTCACATTACACAAAAGAAAACTTTTAAAACACTCACCATCTGGGAATCTCTGCTCACAGAAAGCATAGAGACAAATCTCTTATTAGGCTATACATTTTTCTATTTTAAAAGAAAAAGCAATTATTAAAAATTCTATTGCTTAATCAGAAAAATCTACCTTAAATAATCCTAGATGTGAAAAATATGTGCTTAGTATCCTTTATGACATATGGTCAACATCCATTTTAGAATTCTGACCTCCAAAACTGAAAGACAATTAATTTAGGTTAAGCTACCAAACTTGTGGTCATTTATAACAGCAAAAATGGTAAGCAAATACATTACATTTTTCATTTTACTGTAATGAGTCTACGTGTAGATTTATTTTGTTTAACATTCATATCTTTATTCAATATCAGAACATGCTTGTTTTTTTTTTCATGTTTTGTTTCTAATAAGGCTTGTTGCATTTTCACATGTCTATGATTTTGTGGAGATAGAGAAGGGTCATTTACCAGCCTCTTCCAGTTAGAACTGGTGGCCAGATAGTATGTTTTTCTTACAGGGACTTTGAAAGAATATTTTGACTTTTAATGTCCAAAGCCTTTTTTTTTTTTTTAATATATATATATTTGTGTGTGTGAGTGCAGTGATGCGATCTTGGTTCACTGCAATCTCCACCTCCCAGGTTCATGCAATCCTCCCACCTCAGCCTCCCGAGTAGCTGGGACTACAGCTATGCGCCACCATGCCTGGCTAATTTTTGCATTTTTTGTAGAGACAGGTTCGCCATCTTGCCCAGCATGGTCTCGAACTTCTGGGCTCAAGCAATCCACTTGCCTTGGCCTCTAAAATTGCTGGGATTACAGGTGTGAGCCACCACCCCAGCCTGCCTCCATGTTTTTCTATACCTGGTATAGAAGAGCTTTTCTACCATGTGAGCTTTTTCATGCTTCTGCAAGCTACATAGGTCAGATTGTCTACAACGCATAGATTTTCTAGTCCGTTACCATTTGACCATTAGCACTTCAGTTTCAAATATGTATTAATATTTTCTTTCTACTTTATTTCTTCTTCATTCTCCTTTTATTTGTAGGTTTATGTTACTCTTTCACTTATATTTCCACACGCTTTAGAAGAAAGCAGACCTCAAATTCATGTACAATTTGTCAAAAAAGTAGATGTATACCATGGGGCAAATAAAAATAATTTGCCTACAGAGTTAAAAGAATACGTGAAGGGCCAGATAAATATGAAACTCTGGAGCTATAGAGAGAATATTTTTATGTTTCTACTCAGCTGGAGACTTTTGAGCAAATATTACTGAAACTTTGTCCTGGGCTAAAAGAGCAAGGCCTGGAAATTAATTTACAACTCCATGTATAACTAATAAGGAAACTCCAGAAAGACGTACCTAATTCCAGAGGCGCACACACACACACACACACAGAGTTACAAATTGATATATTTATATAACATATTCACAATTTCTTATTTGTGAAAATAAATAATATTGCTCTTTCTTCAGAATAAAAGCGAAGACTGTAATTGCAGAGGATGTAAGTTTAGGGTTCATTTAGAAATTATGGAGGAGTTAGGCAAAGAGGTAAATAACGGGTTGTATATTTCTAATATATTTAAGGTTACCAGTGCACTTCTATAATTTATAGTGAGTTTTAGCTTTCTATTGAAAATTTAAAAACAAGTTTAAATATGGATTTCAGGTGAACAATAAATTAAACCAGAACCCTAGCCCCATTGAAATGATTTTGATGTTTCTTTTAATACTTTGTAGTTTGTACTTGGAGGTAGCCTTTCATATAGCACTAGGAACCACATAAGACCATTTATTTTTTCCTGTGCTTAGAAAGAACACCATGTGTTTCACTTTCAATATGCTTAGAACAAATGCCATAGCATAAGATATGACATAATAATTCTTATTTGTACCTTATAAAATTTGAGCATTTATTTTGAGGCTGTCTACAGATTAGTGGTTCTCCATTTGTATCTGCATTCATGGTCCCCAGAAGGAAACACTGTAACTTGGTTAATGTTGGTTGTTTGCCACTTTCCAGAGAGATCTTCAACTAACTCACTGTCCTGTAGGACTAGTAAATAATCCATTCTTCATTATTAGATCTTCCTTTCTCTAGAGTCATTTGAAGGTCCCAGATTGTCACACACTGACAAATCATTGATTGGCCACTCTGGCCGTCACACTGCTGTGGTGACCCTGTGAATGTCTAATTTTCTAGCCTTGAGATTCACTGGCCTAGCTTGAGTTCAAATTGTTTTTAATAAACAGTGTTATGGTCATATTTTCCAGGATAAGACCATAGACAGACTAATTTAACTCAAATTTTACACAGACTTACGTCTTTCATGCCAAACTTGGAGCCAGGAAATACTGTCAAATCAAGTGTTTTAATACCTAGAGCTAGGGTGCGGTGGCTCACGCCTGTAATCCCAGCACTTTGGGAGGCCGAGGCGGGTGGATCACGAGGTCAAGAGATTGAGACCATCCTGGCCAACATGGTGAAACCCCATCTGTATTAAAAATACAAAAATTAGCCGGGCGTAGTGGCGGGCGTCTGTGGTCCCAGCTACTCAGGAGGCTGAGGCAGGAGAATGGCTTGAACCCGGGAGGCGGAGCTTGCAGTGAGCCGAGATCGCATCATTGCACTCCAGCCTGGCGACAGAGTGAGGCTCTGTCCCAAAAAAACACAACAAAACAAAACAAACAACCATCCAACCAAACAAACTAACAAACAAAAGACTTAGAGCCTGGCTATCCAGGAGCACCTGTCAGAAAGCTGTTCTGCGGGGTTCACACCTCACAAAAGAGACCATTCTGAATAGTTAGAGCTTTCCACTCTTCAAGAATCTCTCCCAAGTTTGGGAAATTTTTTTCCTTCATTCTTGACCCCTGTTTTCTCTTTACTCTATAAAGTGCTAGCATATTTGGTTTAGTTAGTTTGGGATTTTACAAATCGCAGGAAGAACCAGTGACTTGAACCAACTTTTGATACTAGGACAGCATCCATTCACCCAGAAAAATAAATGCAAAATTATGGATAACTTATCAGAAGAGAGACTTTAAATTATTAAACACAAATTAATATCTAAATAAATTACCTTGCCTCATTTATATTCATCAAATTAGTCCTTATTTGTAGCGCACAGCTTATTTATTTTACAGATTTTTCACTGAGCAAAGTCATATAAATAAGCAGAAGCTTTTAATGCTTTGAAGACAGAAAAATACATTATTTTGTTTTTTCCTGTTATGGTTTGTTGTTTTTTTTATGTTTGGCACATAAAATAGATGAGATATTTCATGCCCAGGTGTATTATATATTTTGAGCAAATACCTTGCGCATTTATTGTGCTGTTTCCAAAAACACTGAGGGAGTTGGGAAACGTCTTTGCTCATCTCTAATCCAATTCTCCTTCATTGTTTCCTGTACTTTCACTTCATGAACCATATTTCTCAAATAAATGGCATCTATTCCTCTAAAAGAAGACTCCTGTAATTCCATCTGAAAGCTATAATAACACAAATTTTCTTTCTTTTCACAATTTATATGATTTGAAATAAAGTAACCACTAAAGCAGTGAGGGAACATTTTAGAGCTTTTACTAAAAATACACCGTCACAGTCTGCATTTAAAACATTGAAAATCAGTTTGACGACATAATTAATTACGTATTAACACTGAAAATATGATAATAAAGTAGTCTCAGATTATGAGTGTTTCCATAATATATATTGTTCATTAATTAATTTGGTTTTGATTTTCATCAATTATACAATAAAAATCATGTATACATAAAAAATGATGAATCATTAAAAATATTTTCTAGTCTATTTAGAAATGCTGCTAGAATAAGCAAAGAGTATTTAGATTATAGTCATATTTTAGGTCTACTTTTGTTATGTATTAGTTATGAGATGACTGAGTATATTTCCCATATATTAAATGGTGATATTTTTCTCCTTCACAGAAAAGGAAGAAGGGAAATAGAGTAAGGGAGAAAAAAATGACAAATTAAACAGAACCCAAAATTTGGAAAGTAACTGTACCATGCCTCACAAAACAGTTAAACTGAAAAACAATACCATGCAGTGTAGCTTGAGTGAAAATTATTTTAACGAGTGTTATGGCCATATTTTTCCACAATAAGACCATAGATAGATTAACTAAACTCAGATTTTACACAGACTAATATTCCAAAGATAAACTCATCACTTTTCCAGTAACTGGTTTATTTTACCAAGTTTCACCAATTCTGCTGGACCTCCCTCTTTGAAACATTCCTGAGATGGTCGATGGCTGGTGTTCTGCCTTGCAAGTTTAAGAAAACAAACTTTGTCTAGTCAGCAAGTATTCCTAGGTGCCCTTCTATGGAAACTTCAACAGAAAAAGACAAGTGGAAGTCACAGAATACCTATGAGAGCGTGGGTTGTATACAAACCAAACTGAACATGTTAACAGAAAATAAATTAAGAAAAACAGAAAAAGGAATGTAGTTATAGAAAATCATATGAACTACTGTCATTTTATGTCTCCAAATACTAACTGTAAGGGTGACCTATTAAAGGATGAAAATCTTAAAAAGGAAATCATATGGATGAAATGGTGTGAGCAACTAAAGAAGGGGAGAGAAGAACGCAATATGAAAAACATTAATGGGAATAAAGAGAAAACAAGGTAAATGTTGAAGTGGTTCTAATTTATCATTTATTGTA